>NC_000022.11:29921685-30073200 GCF_000001405.40 Homo sapiens
ATCCTCTTCCTAGTCCTTGGCAATTACCATTCTATTTTCTATCTTTGTGAATTTAACTACCGTACATACCTCCATATAAGTGAAATAATATAATATTTGACCTTCTATGACTGGCTTATTTCACTTAACATAATGTCTTTAAGGTACATCCATGTCTTTTTTTTTTTTCTTTTTTTTTTTTGAGACAGAGTGTCACTCTATTGCCCAGGCTGGAGTGCGGTGGTGCCATCTCGGCTTGCTGCAACCTCGACCTCTTGGGTTGAAGCAAATTCTTGTGCCTCAGCCTCCCAAGCAGCTGGGACTACAAGTATGCGGCACCACACCAGCTAATTTGTATATCATGTCTTTTTTTTTTTTTGAGATGGAGTTTTGCCCTTGTCACCCAGGCTGCAGTGCAGTGTCGCCATCTGTGCTGACTGCTACCTCTGCCTCCTGGGTTCAAGTGATTCTCCTGCCTCAGCCTCCCGAGTAGCTGGGATTACAGGCACCCGCCACCTTGCCCAGCTAATTTTTAGTAGAGACGGGGTTTTGCCATGTTGGCCAGGCTGGTCTCAAACTCCTGACCTCAGGTGATTCTCCTGCCTTGACCTCCCAAAGTGCTGGGATTACAACTGTGAGCCACCACGCCCGGCCTGTATCATGTCTTTTAAAGACTGAAAAATACTCCATCGTGTGTAGACTCTACATTTTGTTTATCCATTTATCTGTTGATGGACAGTTGAGTTGCTTCTGCTTTTTGGCTGTTGTGAATAATTCTCCTATGAATGTTGGTGTACAAATATCTGTTTAAGTACCTGCTTTTACTTCTTGTGGGTATATACCTAGAATTGGAATTATTTTTGTTTACCCATTTATCCATTGATGGACAGTTGGGTTGCTTCTACTTTTTAGCTATTGTGAAGAATGCTCCTATGAACATTGGTGTACACGTATCTGTGTATATCTGTATATCAAGTCTCTGCTTTTACTCCTTTTGGGTATATACCGAGAAGTGGAATTACTGGATCATATGGTCATTCTGTGTGTTAATTTTTTGAGAAATCTCTATTTTCTACAGTAGCTGTACCATTTTACATTCCTACCAGCAATGCACAAGGATCCACACAACCCAGCCAGCACTTAAAAAAAATTTAAAATAGCCATCATAATGGGTGTGAAGTAGTATCTAATTGTAGTTTTGACTCACATTTCCCTAGTGACTAGTGTTTTTTTTTTTTTTTTGAGACTGGGTCTCACTCTGTCACCCAGACTGGAGTGCGGTGGGGTGATCAGGGCTCATTGCAGGCTCAATCGGTTCTCCCACCTTAGCCTCCAGAGTGGCTGAGACCACAGGTGCACACTACCACATCCAGCCAATTTTTTTTTTTTTTTTTTGAGACGGAGTCTTGCTCTATTGCCCAGGCTGGGGTGCAGTGGCGCCATCTCGGCTCACTGCAAGCTCCGCCTCCTGGGTTCACGCCATTCTCCTGCCTCAGCCTCCTGAGTAGCTGGGACTACAGGTGCGTGTCACCACTCCCAGCTAATTTTTTGTAGTTTTTTTTTTTATTTTTATTTTTTATTTTTTTTTTAGTGGAGACGGGGTTTCACCATGTTAGCCAGGATGGTCTCAATCTCCTGGCCTTGTGATCCACCCTCCTCGGCCTCTCAAAGTGCTGGGATTACAGGTGTGAGCCACTGTGCCCAGCTTGTATTTTTTTTATGTAGACATAGGGTTTTGCCATGTTTCCCAGGCTGGTCCCAAACTCCTGGGCTTAAGTGATCTGCCACCTTGGCCTCCCAAAGTGCTGGGACTGCAGGGGTGAGCCATTGCACTTGGCCAACTAGGGATGTTGAGTATCTTTTCTTGTATGTATTGGCCTTTTGTGCTTCTTTGGAACAATGTCTGTTCAAGTCTTTATTAGTTTTCTCAGGCTACCATAACAAAATATCACACTCTGGGTGGCTTAAACAACAGAAATAAGTCTGGCAGGGTTTGATTTTTGGTGATGGCTCTCTTCCTAGAGTGAGGTCTCTGGTGTCTTGTCTTTTAAGCACACTAATCCTATTGGATCAAGGATCCATCTGCATGACCTTATTTAACCTTAATTACGTCTTACAGGTGTAATTAAGGCCCTGTCTTCAAATACAGTCATATCAGGGGTTAGGGTTTCAACATTTCAATTTCAAGGGGCCAAAAAGCCCATATTCAAAGCCCTTTGCCTACTTGTGAATTGGATTGGTTTTTGTTCTTGAGTTGTAAAAATATATTCTAAACATTCCTTAACAGATATGTAATTTGCAGGTATTTTCTC
This sequence comes from Homo sapiens, assembly GCF_000001405.40. Taxonomy (NCBI): domain Eukaryota; kingdom Metazoa; phylum Chordata; class Mammalia; order Primates; family Hominidae; genus Homo; species Homo sapiens. The sequence continues at coordinate 29,923,977 of NC_000022.11, forward strand.
CATTCTGTGAGTTGCCTTTTGTACTCTGTTGATAGTGCCCTTTGGTGCACAAAAGATTTTCATTTGGATAAAGTTAGCTTTTTCTTTCTTAGCCTGTACTTTTGGTGTCTTATCCAAGAAATCATTGCCAAATGCTATGTCATGAAGCTTTTCCCCTGTTTTCTTCTAAGAGTCTTACAGTTTTAGCTCTTATAGTTAGGTCTTTGATCCATTTGAGTTAATTTTTAAATTAACTCATGTTAATTAAAAACAGTTAATTACATATAGTCTAAAATAAAGGTCCAGCTTCATTGTTTTGCTTATGGATATCCAGTTTTCTCAATACCACTCATTGAAAAGACTGTCCTTTTCCCATTGCATGGTCTTGGTATCCTTGTTGAAAATCATTTGACCATATATGTAAGTGTTTATTTCTGGGCTGTCTGCTTTATTCTGTTGGCCTATATGTCTATTTTTATGCCAGTTTCCTCACTGTTTTGTTTACTGCAGCTTTGTAGTAAGTTTTGCAGTCAGTTAGTGTGAGTTCTTCAACATTGTTCTTTTCAAGTTCACTTTGGCTATTCGGGGTTCTTTGAAATTCCGTGTGAATTTTAGACTGAATTTTTCTATTTCTGCATAAAATGCCATTGGGATTTTAATAGGGATTGCATTAAATCTGTAGATCACTTTGGGTAGTATTGACATCTTCACAATATAAAGTCTTCCAATCCATGAACACATGATATTTTTTCATTTATTTGTGTATTCTTTAATTTATTTTAGTAGTGATTTGTAGTTTTCAGTATAATAGTCTTTTGCTTCCTTGGTTAAGTTTATTTCTAAGTAATTCTTTTTTATGCTATTGTAAATGGAATTTGTTAATTTCTTTTTTTGGCTTGTTCATTGTTAGTGTATATGTATATTTTTTGTATCTTGAACCAAGAATAGAATTGCTAGATTTGACAGTTTATAATTAATTTGGCTGTCCATACTAATATTGATAATAGATATAATTGTCTAAGTAATAGGCTTTTAAAATGTTTGGCATGAAATAATTTGAGAAGCATTTCCCCTTTAAATTTATTTTATTTTTTTGGAGACAGAGCAAACTCTGTCACCCAGGCTAGAGTGCAGTAGCACAATTACTGCTCACTGTAGCTGGCTCCTCCGAGGCTCAGGGGATCCTCCCACCTTATCCTCCCCAGTAGCTGGGACCAGAGGTGTGCATCACTATGCCTGGCTAGTTTTACTGTTTTTTGTAGAGATGGAGTCTGACTATGTTAGTCAGATCGGTCTCACACTCCTGGGCTCAAGCAGTCCTCCTGCCTCAGCCTCCCAAAGTATTGGGATTACAGGTGTGAGCTGCTGCTCCCAGCCTGAATTTTTTGACGTCAGTGTTAATTTGTGTGTGCTATGTTCTGTCTGGATATATTGGACTGGTAGCTTGCAAACAGCCTAACCCTTGGAGATAAGTTGATTTTAAATTAAGAGTAATTGTAGTGGATAATTGCAGAGGCTCTTAAAAGAGTAAATTTCATTTTAAAAAGAAGGAACCAGGAGTAAGAATGTAAAAATAATACCTACCTTTTTATTTGTTTTCTTTAAAAAAAAAAAAAACAGCTTTGTTGAGCTGTAATTCATAGGCCATAAAACTCAGTCTTTTAAAGTACACAACTAGGGCCGGGCATGGTGGCTCATGCCTGTAATCCCAGCAATTTGGGAGGCTGAGATGGGTGGATCACTTGAGACCAGGAGTTTGAGATCAGCCTGGCCAACAAGACGAACCCGTCTCTACTAAAATCACAAAAAAATAGCTGGGTGTGATGGTGGGCACCTGTGGTCCCAGCTGTTTGGGAGGCTGAGGCATGAGAATCACTTGAACTCAAGATGCGGAGGTTGCAATGAGCTGAGATCAAGCCACTGCACTCCAGCCTGAACCACAGAACAAGACTCGGTCTCAAAAAATAAAATAAAATAAAAATAAAGTATACAATGTAATGATTTTGGGCATGTTCAGAGTTGCATGGTCATAACTGCTATTTAATTTCAGAATCCCTAACAGAGACCTCATGCCCTGTAGCAGTTATTCCACTTTCCCACTCCTCTTTAGACCTTCGCAACTGCTAGTTGATTTTCTCTTTCAATGCATTTACCTATTTTGATATTTTATTTAAATAGAACCGTACATGTGGCCTTTTGTGCTGGCTGCTTTCATTTAGCATGAAAGCATTTTCATTTTCATCTGTGTTGTAGCACATTATCAGTACTTAATTCCTTTTAATGGCTGAATAATACTCCATTGTGTGTATGGATATACCACATTTTGTTCATCCGTCAGTGATCATTTGGGTTTTTATTATTTTACTATTGTGAATACTGGTGCTTTTAATCTTTATGTACAGATTTTTGTGGGGACACACGTTTTCAGTTTTCTTGGGTATATACCTAGGAGTGAAATGGCTGAATCATTTGGTAACTGTATGTTTAACTTTTTGAAGAACTACCACACTGTTTCCCACAGTGGAGCTATACCATGTCACATTCCTATCAGCAATTATTAGGATTTTAATTTCTCCACATTCTTGATTACATTTGTGATTATCTGCCCTTTTGATTTTAGTCATGCTAGTGGGTTTAAAGTGGTATCTCATTGTGGCTTTGATTTGTAATTCCTTGATGCCTAATGATGCTGGGCATCTTTTGTGTACTTATTGGTCATTTGTGTATCTTCTTTGGAAAAATGTTTATTTAGATTCTTTGCCTATTTTTAATTTGGAACTTAAATTATTGTCATGGGAGTTCTTTATGTATTCTGGATAGAAGTTCCTTATCCTTGGGTTGTCCTGATTGTGCCCTTTAAAGCACAAAAATGTTTAATTTTGATGAAATCCCATTTATTTCATTTTTCTTTAGCCACTAAATGCTTTTGGTTTTATATCTCAGAAACCATTGCCTAATCTAAGGTTATGAAGATTTACTCCTGTGTTTTCATATAGAAGTTTAATAGTTTTTGCACTTACATTTAGGTCTGTGTCTATTTTGAGTTAATTTTTGTATATGGTGTGAGGTAGAGTTCTTATTTAATTCTTTGGTAGATGGATATTCAGTTGTCCCACCACCGTTTGTTGAAAACTGTTCTTTCCTCGTTGAGTTGTTCTAGCATCTTTGTTAAATAACATAGATGTTAAATAAATGTTAAATAAATTAACCATCTATGTAAGAGTTTATTTCTTGACTTTAAATTCTATTCCATTGATCTGTGTGTCTTTATGCTAGTACCACATTTTCTTGATAATTTCAAAACTTACTACAAAGATATACTTGAGAAGTGTGAGTTATTCAGCTTTGTCCTTTTTTCATGGTTGTTTTGGTTATTCTGGGTCCCTTGTATTTGCACATGAATTTTAGGATCAGCTTGTTGATGTATGCAAAAAGCTCACTGATAGAAAGATTGCATTGAATCTATAGATCATTTTGTCAGTTTGTTGTCACCTTAAAAGGTTATCTTTAGATCAGTGAACAAGAGATGTTTCTGTTTAGGTGGTCTTTAATTTTTTTCAATAATATTTTGTAGTTTTAAAACATTTTTGTTTTAAATTCTTGTTTTTTTATTTTAATTTCGAGGTGTTTAGCCGGTACTTCTGTTCTTAGTGGTAGTGGTAGAGGTTTATCAAAAAAGAGAACTCAAATACTGATGGCCTTTCTAAAGCAGTGTGCATGCAATAAGGTGCATGCATTGGGCACAGCAACACTTGTGAGAAATGATAGTAACATTCCTTGGATGGAGACTCTTTAAGGGAGGAAAATGTATTATATTAGTTTCTTGTTTGCATCAGCACCTCCTGGAATTAATTTTCAGTATACAAGTAGGTGAAGAAATGCTCCTTTTAAAATACCTTTTTCTTTTTTTAAAATTTTTACCACAATCATGACTACATATCCTTGTAAAATATTAAAATGTAATGCTAAAATCTCTAGCCTTTGTTTTTTTTTTTTTTTTTTTGAGACGACGTCTTGCTTTGTCGCCCCCACAGAAGTACAGTGGCATGATCTCAGGTCACTGCAAACTCCACCTCCTGGGTTCAAGCGATTCTCCTGCCTCAGCCACCCAAGTAGCTGGGACTACAGGCGCAAACCACCACGCCTGTCTAGCCATCATTTTTAATCCCGTTCTTTTCTCATCGTCTGTACGGGTAATCACTACATTTTTTTTTTCTTTTTTTTTTTTTTTTTTTAGACAAAGTCTTGCTCTTGTCCCCCAGGCTGGAGTACGATGGCATGATCTCTCTGGTCACTGCCGCCTCCGCCTCCTGGGTAGTGATTCTCCTGCTTCAGCCTCCCTAGTAGCTGGGGTTGCAGGCGCCTGCCACCACGTCCAGATAATGTTTGTATTTTTAGTAGAGACGGGGTTTCATCATATTGGCCATGTTGGTCTCGAACTCCTGACCTCAGGTGATCCGCTGGCCTTGGTCTCCCAAAGTGGTGGGATTACAGGCATGAGCCACTGTGCCTGGCCACATTTTTTTTCTTTTAGGCTTTCCCCCCAGTGCCCTTATGTATGTATGTACCACCAAATGATATGTAGCTTTCTTTTTTTCTCTTTCTTCTTTTTAAATATGCTGTACATTTACTCTATATATTTTTCCCCAATTGATGGATGGTTAGGCTGTTTCTAGTTTTTTGTTTTTACAACCTGTTGGTGTGAAGTTTAAAAAAAATTTTTTTTTAAGTTTTTTTAAAATAGAGACGAAGTCTCGGCATGTTGCCTAGGCTGATCCTGAACTCCTGGGCTCAAGTGATCCACCCTCCTTGGCCACCCAAAGTGCTAGGATTACAGGTGTGAGCCACCACTCCTGGCTCAAAGTTTTTAAAACATGCCTCAGGGAATATTTGCGCCGACTTTGTTGAAATATATCAAGGGAAGTAGAGTTACTTGGCTATATGGAATACGTAGTAGTAGTCGTAGTATATTGTCAAGGTACTCTTCAAAGTAGCTTTAGCAGTTTTACCATTATCAAAAGTGTGTACAATTGCTCACTTTTGGCTGGGCATGGTGGCTCATGCCTGTAATCCCAGCACTTTGGGAGGCCAAGATAGGTGGATCACCTGAGGTCAGGAGTTCAAGACCAGTCTGGGCAACATGGTGAAACGCTGTCTCTACTAAAAAATACAAAAATTAGCTGGGCGGGGTGGCGTGTGCCTGTAATCCCAGCTACTCGGGAGGCTAAGGCAGGAGAATCGCTTGAGCCTGGGAGGCAGAGGTTGCAGTGAGCTGAGATTGTGCCATTACACTCCAGCCTGGGTGATAGAGCAAGACTCCATCTCAAAAACAAACAAACAGAAAACACTCATTTTTCCACCAGTGCCAGTACTTGAAATTAAGCAACATCTTACTTTTCTGCCAATCTTTTTGATGGAAAACAGTTTCTTTATTGTTTTAATTTTCATTTTTTCTGATTATTTATGAAGTCGACATGTTTTCATATGTGTGTTGAACATTTGCATTTCTTTTGTAATTTTTTTTTGGTCTGTTTTTCAGGTTTTTTCTCTCTCATGGATTTTTATTTTTTCTTAGACAGAGTCTTGCTCTGTCACCCAGGCTGGAGTGTAGTGGCGCAATCTCGGCTCACTGCAACCTCCGCCTCCCAGGTTCAAGCGATTCTCCTGCCTCAGCCTCCCGAGTAGCTGGGACTACAGTTGCGTGCCACCATGCCCGGCTAACTTTTTTTTGTATTTTTAGCAGAGACAGGGTTTCACCGTGTTAGTCAGGATGGTCTTGATCTCCTGACCTCTTGATCCGCCCATCTTGGCCTCCAAAAGTGCTGGAATTACAGGCGTGAGCCACCGCGCCCGGCCTCATAGAAGGTTTTTAAAATGGAAATGCTCAACTCTTTTTAGATTATTATTCTAACACTTACTGGGAAGGTCTGAATTTTGACTGAACTGTTTATAGCATTGGACAAGTGTTTGAGAGGTGTGAGGGGTGTGTGGAGAGTACAGCAGGTAAGAAGAGCCCTAGTAACTGTGGACAGCACATAGATTGGGTTCCAGACACATAGTCTTTGAATTTTTGTCTTTCAGTTGAATCAGTTCAGTGAATTCCTTTCATACTATTTGATTTCCAGATAATTTTTTAAAGCCTTAGGAGTGTGTTTGTATAATATTTTTGCTTTTGAAAGTCAATTAAGGTAAATTGTCTACAACAAAATTCACTTCGTATATTTTGGAAAATATATACAGTTATAAAATCACCACCTGATTAATATGTAGAATATTTCCATTACTGCAAAAAGAATTCCAGGTACCCTTTGGCCATTAATTCTCTCTACTGCTCAGTGAACCACTGATCATATCTCCATCACTATAGGTTAGTTTTGCCTCTTGTAGGATTTAATATAAATGGTCATCCCAGATCTTTTATGTAGACTTCCAAACCTAGCATTATATTCACATTAATAATATGAACTTGGCCAGGTGCAGTGGCTCATGGCTGTAATCTTAGCACTTTGAGAGGCTGAAGTGGGAGGATTGCCCAGGAGTTCGAGACCAGCCTAGGCAACATGGCGAAACCCTGTCTCTACAAAAAGTTAGCTGAGCGTGGTGGCACATGTGTGTAGTCCCAGCTACCTGGGAGGCTGAGGCGGGAGGATAACTTGAGCCAGGAAGGTCAAGGCTGCAGTGAGCTGTGATTGTGCCACTGCACTCCAGCCTGGGCTACAGAGTGAGAGCCTGTCTTGAAAGAGAAAAAAGAATATGAATTTTTGACTGGGTACAGTGGCTTACGCTTGTAATTCCAGCACTTTGGGAAGCTGGGGCAAGAGGATTGCTTGAGCCCAGGAGTTTGAGACCAGCATGGGCAACATAGTGAGACCTGTCTCTACAAAAATATAAAAATAAAAAAATTAGCTGGTCATGCTGATGCGTGTGAATAGTGCCAGCTACTCAGGAGGTAGAGTTGGGTGGATCACTTGATCCTGGGAGGTGGAGGCTGCAGTGAGCCATGATCACACCACTGCACTCCAGCCTGGGCATCAGAGTGTGAGACGCTGTCTCAAAAGAAAAAAAAAAAAAAAAAAACTTAAAAATGACCTAACTTTGAGAGTGGTTGGTTTAAAAATCTTGAATTTCTCTATAGTTGAGAATTGTTTCTGAATTGATTTGGCAACTTTATGTCACTATTTAATAAGTAAAACTTTTTGTGTTAAATTCTGCAGTGGAAATACTGACACAACAAGGTTAACAGTACTTGAATCTCTGAAATGAGATATAGTCAGTGGAAGGAAGACAGTAGTTTAATCTACCCCTTTTTCCATACTTGCCTCTTAAATGTTAGTTTCATGGTACTGTTAATCATTATATACAATGACTTTTGGTTGTTCTGTACATACATATATTGCTTTGAACAAAGGAGGACAACATCCAAAGTGATAATAGTATTTAGTTTCTGCCAAAGCTGTTTTTTTGTTTTATTTTGTTTTGTTTTTGAGACAGAGTCTCACTCTGTCGCCCAGGCTGGAGTGCAATGGCATGATCACTGCAACTTCCGCCTCCTGGGTTCAAGCGATTCTTCTGCCTCAGCCTCCCAAGTAGCTGGGACTATGGGCGCGTGCCCTCATGCCCAGCTAACTTTTGTATTTTTAGTAGAGATGGGGTTCCACCATATTGACCAGGCTGTTCTTGAACTCCTGACCTCGTGATCCGCCTGCCTTGGCCTTCCAAAGTGTTGGGATTACAGGCATGAGCCACCACACCTGGCTGCCAAAGCTATGTTTTAAAAAAATAATTTTCTATTTCCGTAGTCCTCCTAGAAGGGGAGAGAGAATCCTTTTTTTTTTTTTTTTTAAAGCAGATTAAGACCATTGGAGGGAAGGAGTATGTCTAACCTGATTTTTAGCCCTTTTTTGTAAGACAGCAATGTCACGGATTTATCAAGATTTCATGTTATTTGGTAGGAACTCCTGACAGCCAGCTCTTTATTCTTCTTTGCACATGTGCATTGATTTCACTGTACACCTTCTCAAAATTCTGGAATGGTTTATTCTTTTGAAAAAATTCCCATCTCAGAGATACACTAATGTTGATCAGGATTATAAGGACAGGTTATAAATCTGAATGCTATTGTAATTTGTTTCAGTCTATTACATTGTAGATTTTTGACTTGAACCAGTGAGTTCTCTAAGTGCTTCTCTTTTGTTCTCTTAATTATAAAAATTGAGATGTAATACACGTATAAGGTATAGTAACCCTAAATTAAAGCCTGGCAGCTTTTTAGATATGTATAGACCCATGTAACTACACCCATATTAATATACAGAACATTTATAGCTCTCTCCCTACTAAGGTTCCCTTCCATCCTTTCTTAGGCACTACATACTGTGAGATAATCACTGTCTTGTCATCTGTCCCCAGAGTGCTTTCATTTTTGTTTTTGGTTTCATAGTTAAAGTTCTTTTCAAAATGTTCCTTTTTTTGGTGGAAATTTAACAGGGTACTAAATTGGTATAACTAACTTATTAGTAAAGTTATAATCAAAGATTGCTGGGAAGGCACGGAAGTGATCAAGACTAATTATGATTCAGATGATTAATAGTATCATTCAGAGATAGTCTTATGCAGCATTCCTCATGGTCAGAGTACTTTACCTGGGACTAGAGTACAACATTTTTTAAAAAAATGTGGATTTTGCCATAAGGAAAATAATGAAAAAGCAAAAGGATAATGAACTGATGTGATGAATGTTCATGTACCTACGACCTAATTTAACAAATATTTATCCCTGTCATAGTTCAGATTTTAAAAACTAACTTTGCTATGTTATGTGAAAATAATAATAGTTATAGAAATAATATAAGGAACTCTCAATGTTCTTCACCAATTGTTTACATTTTGTTTCATGTGCTTTATTATTTCTCCCTTTCTCCATATTTTTTCCCTGAATCATTTTAGAGTAAGTTGGAAGCACTGTGCCCCTTTGCCTCTAAATACTTGAGAGTTTATTTCTTTTTATAAAATTTTAAAATTTTTATTTTTTGAGATGGCGTCTTGCTCTGTTGCTCAGGCTGGAGTGCAGTGGTGCGATCTCAGTTCACTGCCACCTCTGCCTCCTGGGTTCAAGCGATTCTCCTGCTTCAGCCTCCCTAGTAGCTGGGACTACAGGTGCGTGCCACCAGGTCTGGCTAATTTTTTGTATTTTTAGTAGAGATGGGGTTTCACTGTGTTAGCCAGGATGGTCTTGATCTCCTGACCTCATGATCCACCTGCCTCGGCCTCCCAAAGTGCTGGGATTACAGGTGGAGAGTTTATTTCTTGAGAATAAGGACATTATCTTTTTTTTTTCTTTTTATTATCCAGGCAAAAAAAACTGTGAAGAATGTTATTTTATATAACCACAGACAATCTTTCATGGGTTTTTATAGATTAATTTTGAGGATGCTTTTATATCCAAGTTCTTGGATACACATCACAGTTGGCAAAATATTTCTCGTGCTATCTCAGATTTGTATACCATCAGAATTTTTAGTATATTTTTAATCTTCTTAACTAAATGCAAATGTAGCTTATTTTACTATCGGTCAAGTTATTTTAAAATTTGAGAATTAAAATGCATCTTGCTGGCTTCATTTGTATTTCACTGGGTGGTTGTCACCAGGTATGCTCTCTTCCATTATCTTCACATAATTTTTGAACTGAGAGGTACTAATCAGACTTTAGTCATCAATGATAGTCTTGTTCTTTGCACATAAAGATGATAGTGTAAACCCAACAGAGCAGTTCTGTGTTTTTTTTTTTTTTTTTTTAGGAGACTGGGTCTCACTGTGTTGCCCAGTCTAGACTTGTACTCCTGGACTCAAGCCATCCTTCTGCCCCAGCCTCCCAAGTAGCTGGGACCACAGGTGTGCACCATTGTGCCTGGCTAAAGTAGGCATTTTTAGTTTTGCTTTCTTACCACCTCTCAATGAGATGATGCACTTGTGGTTGTCCAGCCATACATATTCGTCTACTTATTTCCCTATGATAGTACATGTTTTTAGGGTAGTTGATTTATGGATAAAAACATGTTTATATTATGTATAATATCTATGGAAGTGAATAAATTTGCTTATGAAAATTAAACTCTAGCTGGGCACGGTGGCTCACGCCTGTAATTCCAGCACTTTGGGAGGTAGAGGTGAGTGGATCACGAGGTCAAGAGATCGAGACCATCCTGGCTAACACGGTGAAACCCCATCTCTACTAAAAATACAAAAAATTAGTCGGGCATTGTGGCGGGCACCTGTAGACTCAGCTACTCCGGAGGCTGACGCAGGAGAATGGTGTGAACCTGGGAGGCGGGGCTTGCAGTGAGCTGAGATCGTGCCACTGCACTCCAGCCTGGGCGGTAGAGAGAGACTCTGTCTCAAAGAGAAAAAAAAAATTAAGCTCTGGACATTAAAGATGTTAGCACGCATCTAATCAAATGAGCAACTGTGTATTAGATTACTTGAAGAAGGTGGTATCCCATTTGGCTATTCTAGAGCCCAATTTTTCTTTTGTATGTGTAATTTCTGGAGTTTTCTCTTGCCATACTTGCATTTTAATATAAAAATCTACACTAATGTGGTCTCTTTTCCTTAGTATCTAAGTTTTTAATGTCATTATAGATTGTAATATTTGGAGACTTTGAAAAGATTCTATTTTAGGGGAAAACTAGGGCATGCAGGTTGATCTTGTCCCATTATGGTGAGTTGTTTGTCCTACCCTGTTATATTAGAATCTAGAAACATACTAGCTTTGACCTTGGACAAGTTATTGAATCCTTGGGAACCTTGAAGTCCTCACTGTTAAGTGGGTTAAGTGGCACCTCCTTCAACAACTATGAAGATTGAATAAGATAGTGCGTAAAAAGTACATAGCCCAGTGATTGGCACATAGTTCAGTAAATAATAGCTTTAAAGTATGAAAATAATGGTATTTATTCAGAGTTTGGTTTCGCTTAACAAAGTAATTTATCCATTTAGACTACTTTTATTAAGCATATATTTTTCTATTATAGTATTTAAGCAGAGCTTTGTGTGTAATATATTTTAACTATAGGTGTCTTGTGAATTAAGAAATGGATACTTCTGTAATGAAGACGTTTTAAGAGCTTTTAAGTTGTACATTAGTTTGTTCTTTGATAAACCCATGAGATTGTTTTGTCAGGGGAGATAATTCTATTTCTTTTGAGAGGTAAATACAGCTTGTACTATAGTATTTGATCAATTTACAATAGGACATTAGTGGTAGAGCTAATATGTATGTGATTACTAAATGGCATGTACAGTTCGAAGTGTTCCTGTTTATTAGCTCACTTAATTCTCACAGTAACACCATAAGATACCATTGGGAGTGGAAGCAGGAGAAAGAAAAAGTGACTTGCTCAAGATTACAGAACTACTAGATGCCTGAATTGGGTTTTGAGACAAGGTCAGGCTGACTTTAAAGCTGTGTAAGAATGTGTTAAAAACTAACATTTAAAAAAGTGCTAGTGTATGTTTTCAGTTCTTACCTTACACACTAGTATTCCTTTTGAAAGCCTTGTTTAAAACAGCAGAAACTGAAATGATACGGCAGAGTAAAACGAGACGTCATATTTCTCCACTAGGTCAAAGAGGTAAAGAATAGAAGTAACACTGCCACAAATTGTAGAGAATAGAATAAAAGAAGGAAAGCAGGAGATCTATTCCTCAGTTATGACTTTTACAAAATAATTTCCATATCTGATGCGGTTTACTGTCTGATTGAATGATCTCTTCTCTCCATGCCCACTTTTTTTTTTTTTTTTTTGAGACGGAGTCATGCTGTGTCTCACTCTGTCGCCCAGGCTGGAGTGCAGTGGTGCAATCTCGGCTCACTGCAGGCTCTGCCTCCCAGGTTCACGCCATTCTCCTGCCTCAGCCTCCCGAGTAGCTGGGACTATAGGCGCCCGCCACCACGCCTGGCTAATTTTTAGTATTTTTAGTAGAGACGGGGTTTCACCGTATTAGCCAGGGTGGTCTGGATCTCCTGACCTCATGATCCGCCCTCTTTGGCCTCCCAAAGTGCTGGGTTTACAGGCGTGAGTCACTGTGCCCGGCCTCCATGCCCACTTTTAGGGGAAAAGTTTAGAAGATGGAGACAAAACCAACTATCCTTCTGCTATCTCTTAGATTTTCATCTCTTTCTATTCTGTAGCCTACAATCGTAATGTAGACCAAGATTAGGCTGAAGAATAAAATATTCCTTAATGTATCTAATATTTTTATAGTATTGAACTGTAACCCCATAATGAATTTTTTTGGGGAAAGTCAGATTATTTGGTTATGCTTGGGAACTTTTAGGTAGTTGCAGACTCATTAATAAACTGATCACATGGACCAGATTGTCTTATCCGGTCAGCTTTTTGCTTCCTTGTTCTTATATTTGCTCTATTGTGCTGGTGCCCATAACAACATAAACTTACAGCTCAGTAATGCAGGGCAAGTAGACTTCTTCCTGCCCTGGAGCTTTTTCCTGTACTAGATGCCAGTTCTGAGGATGGTGAGCCTGAGAGTTTAATGGAAAACCTGATTTCTTGATTCTCTGTGGTTAGATTAGATTTGTTTCAATGCTGAAATAAAGAAACTCTAAGAGAGTAGGTAGAAAGCAGTGCTTGGCTGGAGGATATTTAATAAGTGTTCAACTTTAGAATGAATGGGTTTCTTGCTTTGTTAACTTCTTGAAAATGCCAGTGTCTTTAATGATACCATTTAATAGAGGTAATCTGTAGTGGAACATTATTTAGTGACACCACATTTTCAATTCAATAGCCATTTATTTGCTTTTGTAAATTCTCTGTATTTTCTCATATTCCCAAAGACTTTTTTCAGTTTTCTAAGTGAATTAATTTCTTTGAGTAGAATATAAAATAGTAATATTAAAAAATATGGCCCCTCATGCTATCCACTTGAGTTTTAAGATGGTTAGGTTTTTTCGTATTACTGACTGGCTAAAAGGAGAATTTGATCCTGGAGAATTTGATTTGAGTTTTAGATATAAAGGCTTATATTTTACCCCCCTTTTCTTAAATTTTTTGTCAAGCACCCCCCTTCTACAGCTGACAAAACTAAGATACTTCTTAATATTGGATTAAGCTTTTGTTATTATATATTAGTTTTCTGTGTTATCTTTCTAGTCATATCTAGTAATGTTAAGCTTCATTTTGTCTTGTACTTACTTGGATTTGCAGCTTTAAGATGCTTATCATTAGGGCTGAATCTTATTTCTCTGGAGGATACTGACTCTTTAAATGGCTGTAAAAATCATTGAGCGCCTACTCGATACCAAGACATTCTCTTCTAAGAAGAGACTTCTTTCTTTACCATATACTGTCTACCTTTGGTCACAGCAGTTTTGAGGCTTGGGAGCTATTTGTTCTATTCCTTTTTTTGTGCTTGTTCACTTTTTTCTTTCAAAAAACTTTGCAGATTTTTTTTTTTTTTGAGTCAGGGTCTTGCTCTGTTGCCCAGGATGAAGTGCAAGCAGCACAATCATAGCTTACTGCAGGCTTGAGCTCCTGGGGTTAAGTGATCCTCCTGCCTCAGCCTCCCGAGTAGCGGGGACTATAGGCTACAGGTGCCGCCGCACCCAAACTTTATTTGTTTTATAAAACACTAGTTTTTAGAATATAAAACTTGGTGAATAGTATCACTATGTATAATTCTTGAGTCTCAAGTGTAAACACATCAAAATGCGTTTCGTAGGGAGTATATATTCAGGGCAACTTGAATCTATGCTCCTGAGAAAAATAAATTTAGAAAACCGACAAAAACCCAAAATGCATTTCATAAATTGTACAAGAAGATTTGAAGTAATTAAAAAATGATGGAGCAAACTTTCACAAGCCTGTTTTTTTAGTTGTTGGTTCCTAATTTGGCATCAGTCTGTACTGAGTTGATGCTTCAGTAGGTTTGAGACAGGAATAATACAGGGTGGTCACAGGAGAACAGAAAATTCCAGGCAGCAATTTTACATGACTAGCATAAAGGAAACTATTGAAATAGCTGCATAAACTAGGGGCTGACAAGACCTTAAAAAACCAGAGTGTGGGCCAAGCTGGCTAAGACTGACCCAGCATGGCACTGGATTTGACCTAGGTTTCACCTAGGATCTCATTATATGCTCATTAACATACTAAATCACATACCCACCAGCACCATGCAGTTCCAGGAACACCCATATTTGGTGTAGAAATGGGTGGCACTACAGTTCTGAGAAATCGTAACTGTTTTCCTGGAATCTTCCTGAATATTCCATGCTTTGCGTAAAGAAACCCATAAAGATGGAAGTACCAACCCGCTTGGTACAACCTTCTCTTGAGTATACCCACACCCCCCTTTCTTGAGTTTATAATTTTCGCTTTGTCATAAATCTCCGTACTTTCACTGTTTCTGACTCATTCCTGAATTTCTCCTTGTGATAGTGTCAAGAGCCTGGACACCAGCTGAGGGAGAGGTCTCACTGCTCTTTGGGGACTTCCCCCAGCCCGCTGGTATTCAGACCTTTCCAAAATCTGAGTGTCTGTTGTGGAATCATATAGAGAGAAATTTTTCTTGGTCATTAGAGTAAAGTATATGCAAATTCTTTTCTTCTTTTCCATAGCTCACTGCTATTTGGGGACTTCCCTCAGCCCACTGGTATTCAGACCTTTCCGAAATCTGAGTCTCTGATGTGGAACCATATAGAGATAAATTTTTCTTGGTCATTAGAGTAAAGGTATATGCAAATTCTTTTCTTCTTTTCCATAGAATGTTTGCTCAGGACCAGCTGCATAATTTACAGGGCCTCTTCAAGAGGTGATTTAGAAAACTATACATTTTCTTTACTTTTATTTTATTATTTTTTTTTTGAGACAGAGTCTCACTCTGATGCCCAGGCTAGAGTGCAGTGTCGTGATCTCAGCTCACTACAACCTCCACCTCCCGGGTTCAACCGATTCTCCTGCCTCAGCCTCCTGAGTAGCTGGGACTACAGGCACCCGCCACCACGCCCGGCTAATTTTTGTATTTTTAGTAGAGGCGGGGTTTCACCATATTGGCCAGGCTGGTCTCGAACTCCTGACCTCAAATGATATACCCGCCTCGGCCTCCCAAAGTGCTGGGATTACAGAAGTGAGTCACTGTGCCTAACTGAAAACTATACGTTTTCTAATTGTGCTGCATAATTGTATATTTTGTGATTTGTATTTGATGAAAATATGTCCACGCTGGAATTTAAAATAAACTGTTTTACAATGGTATTTTTGTGTCCTAACTTAAGGTCTGGTTAAGGAGTGTCATGGTTCAAACTATTTTTATTATAGGTTTAAATAAAATAAAAACAAAACACCGTGGGGCCAAAAGATGGGAAAGGGACTTTGTTGGAGCTGATAGTTTTATTATTTTCAAACATTGAAATCTTGTAGAGATAGACTTTTCAAATTAATCCTGAGTTGTTAATTTTAAACTTTGTGATTATCTCACTCTTGAGATAATCCTATAAACCTTTTCAGACATAATCATTGAGGTTAGCTAAAACTACTTTTAGCAAAAGCCATATGCTTGTTTTCCCAGTGGGTGAAATTGAGCACTGACTTTTAGAGTCACTAATGTTTTAGTGAAACTGCTTAAATTTCAAGGTAGACCTTAGTGACTTTCTATATGTATGAAGGTATTACTTGACTGTTTTATAAAATAAGAACCGTAATTGGCGTAGACTTTCAGATGAGATTGGGAACATTCAGGGTGGTATGGCCGTAGGCAGTATGGACTTTCAGATAGCAGCTATAACTGTTAGTAATAAGAGTAGGACTGTCAGGCCACTCTGCCCAGGCTAAGCCATCATATCTCCTGTGACCTGCCCGTATACATCCAGATGGCCTGAAGCAACTGAAGAACCATGAAAGATGACATTCAACCATTGTAATCTGTTCCTGCCCCACCCTAACTGATCAATTGACCTTATGACAATACACCCTCCCCGCCCTTGCGATCATGTACTTTGTGATATTTCCCTGCCCTTAA
Organism: Homo sapiens; assembly: GCF_000001405.40. Taxonomy (NCBI): domain Eukaryota; kingdom Metazoa; phylum Chordata; class Mammalia; order Primates; family Hominidae; genus Homo; species Homo sapiens. Next base: position 29,939,993 of record NC_000022.11, read on the forward strand.
GAAGGTACTTTGCGCCTGTAATCCCAGCACTTCGGGAGGCCGAGGTGGGCAGATCACGAGGTCAGGAGATCGAGACCATCCTGGCTAACACAGTGAAACCCCGTCTCTGCTAAAAATACAAAAAAATTAGCCGGGCGTGGTGGCGGGCGACTGTAGTCCCAGCTACTCCGGAGGCTGAGGAAGGAGAATGGCGTGAACCCGGGAGGCGGAACTTGCAGTGAGCCGAGATTGTGCCACTGCACGCCAGCCTGGGGGACAGAGCGAGACTCCGTTTCAAAAGAAAAAAAAATACTTTGTAATATTCTCCCTGCGCTTGAGAATGTACTTTGTGAGATCCACCCCCTGCCCACAAAAATTTGTTCCTAATTCCACTGCCTATCCCAAACCTGTAAGAACTAATGATAATCCTACCACCCTTTGCTGAATCTTTTCTTGGACTCAGCCCGCCTGCACCCAGGTGAAACAAACAGCCTTGTTGCTCACACAAAGCCTGTTTGGTGGACTCTCTTCACACGGATGCGTGTGACAATGACTGTACTTTTAACAGATGAGAAGTTTGATGGGAGTTGAAACTAGAACTTTTTTTTTTCCTCCTGAATAGGAAAAATCGGAACATTCTTTAAGGTCCAGCTTTTCTCACCCTGCCCCACCTTTTTAAAAAAATTGTTGCTTATTGCCAATAGACTAGCAAGTGGTTGAACAGTTTCCTTGGCAAGAGGTGCCAGGTGACTGACTAATGCCATCGTAAAGCACATGCCCTTGATCACATCATATGGACTTGATCTCCTTGGAGGCTAATTATATTTAGGGACATTTTAGTACTTTCAAGGAACCTCAGACTTTGCTGAGGTTGAAAACACTGGTGACCTCCCTTTGGTTATAAGAGAGACCAGGAGTTCATATGCATTCCTTCAGAAAAATATTTGAAAAATATAACACTGACCTTGGGAGATTAGTGCATATGATCTTGATTTTATGATCTTTTCTAGAGACACTGCACCACTGCAGCCACTGCCTCAATCATGATACAGAACTTTTACATCACATGAGAAAGTTCCTTTATGCACCGCTTCTAGTTAGTCTTTCTCTGCCCTAATCCAAACTACTATTCTCTTTCCTATCACTAAAAATTAGTTTCGTCCTTGAACTTCATGTAAATGGAATCATACAATATTCTTTTCTAACTTGTTGCTTTGAGTCAACATCATGCTTTTGAGACTTATCCAGGTTGTATCAGTAAGTAGTTTGTTCATTTTTATTGCTGAGTATGGCAATCCATTATAGAAATATACCACAATTTGTTTATCTGATCACTTACTGGATATTTGGGGTTGTTTCCAGTTTGGGGCTGTTATGAGTAAGGTTGCTGTGAACATTTGTGTCCAGACCTTTTTGTGATAATGTGCTTTCATTTCTCTTGGGTAATACCCAGGAGTAGAATTGTTGGATCATAGGATAAATGTATGCTTAACCTCATAAGCAGTTGCCAAACTGTCCTCCAAAGTGGTAATGCCATTTTACACTTTACGAGCCGTGTATGAATTCCAGTTACTCGATGTCCTCACCAACATTTGCTCTTGCCAGTTTCTTTAATTTTAGTTAGTTCAGTGGATGTAAAAGGGTATCTCATTGTGGTTTTCATTTTTTGTCTCCCTGATGACTGATTTGAGAATACTTCTCCTACATGACTTTCCTTTTCATTTTCTTAATGGTGTCTTTTGATAAGTAGAGATTTTTAAAATAAAATTTTAATTGTGGGAAAATATGTATGACATTTATTACCATCTTAACCATTTTAAAATGTACAATTCAGTGGCATCTCTACAAAAAAATAAAATAATTAACCAGACATGGTGGTGAGTGCCTGTAATCCTGGCTACTTGGGAGGCCATGGTAGGAAGATCCCTTGAGTCCCAGGAGTCTGAAGTTGCAGTGAGCTACGATTGTGCCACTGCACCCCAGTGTAGGCAACAGAGTGAGATGCCATCTCTTAAAAAGAAAAAACAAAAACAAAAACGGTATTTTCTATCTTGAATGCCTTTAGTTTTTGGATATGTTGACCCTTCTGTGACACCTTGGTCCACATGATGTATCAGGCAAAATTCACCTCCGATATTTCACGTAGGTTCTTTTCTATTTTCCCTAAGTGTCAGCCAGTCTGAGAAATAAAGGGAAAGACTACAAAAGAGAGAAATTTTAAAGCTGAATGTCTAGGGGAGATGTCACATGTCGGCAGCTTCCGTGATGACCCCTAAGCCACAAAACCAGCAAGTTTTTATTAGCGATTTTCAAAAGGAGAGGGAGTGTACGAATAGGGTGTGGGTCACAGAGATCACATGCTTCATTTGCTTCACAAGGTAATAAAATATCACAAGGCAAATGGAGGCAGGGCGAGATCACAGGACCACAGGACCGGGGCAAAATTAAAATTGCTAATGAAGTTTCGGGCACGCATTGTCATTGATAACATCTTATCAGGAGACAGGGTTTGAGAGCAGACAACTGGTCTGACCAAAATTTATTAGGCGGGAATTTCCTCTTCCTAATAAGCCTGGGAGCACTACGGGAGACTAGGGCTTATTTCATCCCTCCGCTACGACCGTAAAAGATAGCCGTCCCCAAAGCGGCCATTTCAGAGGCTTCCCCTCAGGGACGCATTCTCTTTCTCAGGGATGTTCCTTGCTGAGAAAAAGAATTCAGCGATATTTCTCCCATTTGCTTTTGAAAGAAAAATATGGCTCTGTTCCATCCGGCTCACCGGCAGTCAGAGTTTAAGGTTATCTCTCTTGTTCCCTGAACATTGCTGTTATCCTGTTCTTTTTTCAAGGTGCCCAGATTTCATATTGTTCAAACACACATGCTCTACAAACAACTTGTGCAATTAATGCAATCATCACAGGGTCCTGAGGTGACATACATCCTCCTCAGCTTACGAAGATGACAGGATTAAAAGATTAAAGTAAAGACAGGCATAGGAAATCACAAGGGTATTGGTTGGGGAAGTAATAAGTGTCTGTGAAATCTTCATAATTTATGTTCAGAGATTGCAGTAAAGACAGGTGTAAGAAATTATAAAAGTATTAATTTGGGGAACTAATAAATGTCCATGAAATCTTCACAATTTATGTTCTGTCATGGCTTCAGCTGGTCCCTCCGTTCGGGGTCCCTGACTTTCCGCAACAATGATGTGTGTATTTTTCTTTTTTTCTTTTTTTTTTGAGACAGAGTCTCACTCTGTCACCCAGGCTGGAGTGCAGTGGCGCCATCTCGGCTCACTGCAAGCTCTGCCTCCCAGGTTCATGCCATTCTCCTGCCTCAGCCTCCTGAGTAGCTGGGACTACAGGCACCTGCCACCACGCCCGGCTAATTTTTTTGTATTTTTAGTAGAGATAGGGTTTCACCATGTTAGCCAGGATGGTCTCGATCTGACCTCGTGATCCGCCCGTCTCGGCCTCCCAAAGTGCTGGGATTACAGGCGTGAGCCACCGCGCCTGGCCTTGATGTGTGTATTTTTCTTGTCTACGTTTGCCACTCTTTTAGTATATAAGTTTATAAGTTCATAGAAATTTTAGCTGAAGTTTTTGGAGAAGGTGTGTTGGGTAAGGTGAGCTTGTCAGGGAAGGAAGGAATTGGTATGTTATGACTATTCCAGATCTACTTTGAATCTGTATCCTATGACTTAAAGGATTATTTTGCTATGTCTCATATAGCAAAATGAGGCTCTTATAGTCTTAGAACATGATAGACTTTTAGTTTAGGCATTTTGCTTCCCCTTCCCCACCCCCAAACCCCACCCCCAATGCCAGCTCCTTCATGTGGACAACTTTTTTTTTTCTTTCTTTCTTTCTTGAGACAAGGTCTGGCTCGATTGCCCAGGCTGGAGTGTAGTAGCACGATCTTGGCTCATTGCAAACTCTGCCTCCTGGGCTTACGCCATTCTCCCACCTCAGCTGCCCGAGTAGCTGGGACTACAGGTATGCACCACCATGACTGGCTAATTTTTTTTTGTAGAGATGGGATTTTGCCATGTTGCCTAGGCTGTTCTCGAACTTGTGAGCTCAGGTGATCCTCCCGCCTTGGCATCCCAAAGTGGTGGGATTACAGGTGTGAGCCACTGCATCCGGCCTCCGTGTGGACAACTTAAGGCAAGAGCTAGCGGGGTCTTAAAGCCCAGAAGAGTGAGAACAGTGTTTCGTGGTTCCTTTTGAGACATTAATATCTTTTAGATTGGTGCAAAAGTAATTGTGGTTTTTGCCATTAAAAATGATGGCAAAAACTGTAATTACTTTTGCACCAATCTAATACTTATCTCCACTGCTTTTATCTACCCCAAGAACTTGTCATTGTCCTAGGGGAGAATTAACTTTTACTTCTATCTGACTTACGTGTTAGTTTTGTGATGTTTTATTCTAGATTAAGTATCCTCACATAAAGTCATGTTTTTGATAATAGGGGAAAAAGTCAGACTTTTACTTTTGTCTTTTCTTCCTACCCCCACAAGAAGACAGGAAGTAGATAGAGATCAAATTGAGTTGGAGGAGGATAGTATTTGTGGACTTCCAAACAAATTCTTTTATCCTCAGGACATATGTAGCTTGGTATGCAGAGGCAGCATGACTTTTGGAAATTAGGTGCTGTTCTTTTTCTTATTTCTGTTACATTTTAAAGTTTTGCAAGCTACTTTGCTCGGTTATCTTTAATGTTGTATGTTAGCCAGTTGATTAGTGACTTTTTATTGTGATAAAACTTTATTTGCAGTAGATCTTTACAAACTGAGATCACAGAACATGTAAACTCATTAGAACTGTTATTTTCAATTGGTGTATTTCTGATTTAAGCTTTTCTTTTAGAAATGTTTACTTTTATATTTGCTAAATAGATATTTCAGTCATTGATTCAATGAATAAACTGTATAAATAGGTTCATTGCTGAAATTGCTGCTGTGTGTGATTTATAATAATAGCAGATTTCTCCATAATCAAAGTAAATACAATATCCACATTTTATTTCTGGAAATGAATTGTTTAAATATTATTTTTTAGACAGGGTCTCCTCTGTCACCCAGGCTGGAGTGCAGAGGGATGATCACCACTCACTGCATCCTCAGCCTCCTGGACTCGAGTGATTCTCTAGCCTCAGCCTTCTAAGTAGCTGGGGCCACAGGCACGTGCCATGAGGCCTGGCGAATTTTTCATAGAGGTGGGATTTTGCCGTGTTGCCCAGGCTGGTCTCGAACTCCTAGGCTCCAGCAGTTCTCCTGCCTCGCCCTCTTAAAGTGGTGGAATTACAGTTGTGAGCCACTGCACCCAGCCTGGAAATGTAAATAATTATAATGACATGTAGTAAGCATTATAAATAAGAATAACTATATTGAAATGGCACAGTGAACTCTGCAGGGAAGCTTTTGCAGTAAAAATGTTTTCAAGCTGGCCAGGTGCGGTGGCTTACATCTGTAATCTCAACACTTTGAGAGGCCAAGGTGGGAGGATAGCTTGAAGCTAGTTTGACACCAGCCTGGGTAAAGCGAGATCCCTGTCTCTATAAAAAATTAAAAAAAAAAAATGTAGCCAGGCATGGTGGTATATGTCTGTGGTCCCAGCTACTTGGGAGGCTGAGACAGTAGGATTGCTTGAGTCTGGGATCCTGAGGCTGCAGTAAGCTGTGATCGTGCCACTGCATTCCAGCCTGGGCAACAGAGTGAGACTCCAGTCTTTAAAATGAAAAAGAAAAAAAAAAAAAAAATTTCGAGCCAAGAATTGAAGGACACATGGGCCTTGTCCAGATGGATAAAGTGGGATGAGGGAATCAGGCAAAGATAATAGCAGTTAAAAAAAATTTATGGATGAAAAAATTTTAAAAGCAGTCCCAACTTGTTTAATTTGGAAATGTAATGTCAGAGGGTTTATTTTTTGGAGAGAAATTTTAGGAAAACTTCTATTGAAGGACTACGACAGGGAGTGTTAAAAGATTTGACCAGAGTAGTTATGTTATAAATTCAATTGTAAAACTTGTGTGTGTGTGTATATATTTGTGTGTGTGTGTGTGTAAGGTAATCAAGGTATAATTAAATATAAGCAAATGTTTGAGAGTCAATTTGATGGAAAAAGTGGCAGTGATACTGATAACATGCAATGGAAAGATGAGAATTAGGCATTTCAAAGAAAGCAGTGAAAATTGGTGTCAGATTTTGTCATTGGAAATAGAGTCAAATGGTTTCTAGACTGGAATACCTAGAACAACTGTGATTCCCAAAGGAGTATTAAGGAGCTGTGGTGGGGAGAAGAGAGAGGAGAGGGAGGCAGATGATGGATTCTGTTTAGGATAGAGGTAAAGGTGCTAGATTGACAACCTAGAGGAGATCTGGTAATCTGTGGTCATGTGCTAGCAATAGCAGTCAGGGTTGAGGGTTATTTGGGGAGCTCTCTGCTAGTAGCTGAGGGCTCGAGAGAAAGGCTTATCATTTCTGTGGGAAGGACTGATCCTGTTGCATGTGCACCAGGTCAGGCCTGTTCATGAATGGTTTCAGACTGTTAATGGATTAGAAAAATGTCTTATGAAGAAAAATGAGGGAACAAGGAATCCGGAGGAAATGATTTTTGTAGCAGTTTCTCTATATGAAGAATTTGTATTAGTATTAGGGCAATATCATTCAAACCTCTCATTAATGTACTACCTGCATATTTTTTTTGCAGTATCTGTATACCAAATGGGAGTGCATCTTAAAGACAATGGCATGTTATGGTTGAATTGGAAAAGTTTTTTTTTTTTCTAGTGGTATGTAAATTAATAGTGTGTCTTGAATTTGATGGCATCTCAGACTGAATAAAAGGTAAAATTTTAAAAATGCTCAGTAGCGCAAATATAGTTCTTAAAAAGATACTTGTTTATGTTCTGTTTAATCTCAGATATCACCAATGATAATATATACCACGGCATGGAAATACTGGTAATAGAGTACTCCCATTGAAAAAATAACTATATGCTTTAGAATATAGGGTTTAGGTTAGATTGTAAGGAAACTGTTGAAGATGTAAATCATTAGAAAAGAAAAAGTGTAAGTTCTTTCCAAGGTTCTTATGTTTCCAGCATTTTAACATATATACATGTTCTGACTGAACAGTAGTAGTGCAGAATCTGTTATCCAATCACAGGTTTGATTTTACCAGAGAGCTTGGATAAACATATTATTTCTTTCTCCTCTTTCCGACATAGCTCCTTTGACAAATGATTTTTATGTTGGAAAATGCAAGAAAAATAAGTAGCTCAGATTGACTTTGGAAATGTAATATTATTCTTAATTCACAGGCTTGTTGGCAACTTGAGAATTCCAATTATTTGTCTGTGTGGATTGTTTTTTTTAAATGCTGAATTGTATAGTACTTAAGTTTTTGATGTATAAACAATATACTTAATATACTCCATAATGTATGAGGATAGGTTTCTATTAGGCTGTATGTTTGAGAAAGTTTTCCTCTTATGACAAAAGTTAATTTAGCCAGTATGCTAAATTAAAAAAAAAAAACAAAAAACCCTGCCTCCCAGTTTTCTGAGTTAAGTAAAATGATGGTGTAAGAATTTTTTAAATTCAAGGTTTGGTCTGTCTGAATTTTTCTGAGTCATTGATTTAAATGCAGTTACTTAAAAGCATACGGGGAGAAATTCCTTTTACTACTTGTTAGCTCTGATTTAACTTGGTACTTTTGCCTTCCTTAAGTAAAGCATGTTGATGAATTCTACTTTTTGGCTTTAGCTGAAAAAGTTCATTTTCTTCCTGTATGTATTTGGATGGCAGTCACATGTATTCCTCTAGTTTACATGAGATAAATATTACTAATTTTAAAAAGGTGGGTCTTTTCTGGGGGTATGTTGAATTGAAGATGGTGTTCAGGTCAAGACAGTTTCTGGTCTTTTGGCCATTTAATAATCTGAGAATTGCTTTGAAAGGGTAGGTATTTGAGCTCATCATTTAAACAGAGCCTGCATTGTGGTGTGTGGTTATTGGAGGTTGTTGGTGTTTTCATTGGCGTGTTTTCAAAAATATGAGTAGCCCCCTACCTAAATGCCAGAATACAAATTTTAACTAGGCCAGTAGAAGAGGGGATTATTTTCATTTCACATAGCCTCTAGTATTTGAATTTTGTCTGTCTTTGAATGTACCTCTTGGCTAGCTAGAGTTGGACAGTTTTCAATTGTGATGACAGCAGTTAAAAATTCAAATCTGTTCCTTTTCATTGTTGAGTTGTATGCTTAAAGAATGCATCTGCATTTTCATTCAGCTTTCTGGTCCTTGTCGATTTTTGATGTCTGTTATTCTGCATAAAACTGTGTGGCAGGCGCCAGAACTTTTAAGAATCTTTTTGTTTACAGATGGGGAGACAATAACATTAACATTCATTAACATTCAAAATAAAACATTCTTATACTGATAAGCAGTATGCAGGTTAGCTAGGTTTGGGATACTGATAGATATTTTTTTAGTGTAGTTTACTTCCAAATGTCTTCTAGAATTTATGTTTAATATCTCAAATACCTACACAGAATAGGAATGGCATGCTTATTTATACATGGGCGTACTCTTGAGTTCTAATGGCAAGCCAGCCTTCAAATTAAGTTGTCTTCCTGGAAAAGAAACCTCTTAGGCAACTGTGAAGGGAGAGGGATAATATAAAAAGGATGGAGTTTAGAAATTTGTCTTTTTGTGGTAAGATCTAGAAACAAAGCATATTAGAATAAGCAGTGTAAATTTTGCACCTTTCAAAAAGATACTGATGTTTTTATCATGAAATAATAAAAACATATTATTGTCTAAAAAAAAAAAGCCAAAAAACCCAGCCAGGTGCTATGACTCATGCCTGTAATTCCAACACTTTGGGAGGCTGAGGCAGGAGGATTGCTTGAGCCTAGGAGTTCAAGACCAATGAGACCACATCTCTACAAAAAACCACAACAGTAAAAATGAGCCGGGCATGGTGGCATGTGTCTGTAGTCCCAACTACTCAGGAGGCTGGAGTGAGAGGATCGCTTGAGCCTGAAAGGTTGATGCTGCAGTGAGCCACAATCATGCCACTGCACTCTAGCCTGGGCGACAGCGAGGCCCTGTCTTAAAACACACACACACACACACACACACACACACACACACACACACACACCCCCCCCCCCCCCCCCGAGGCCCTGTCTTAAAACACACACACATGCGTGCGCGTGCACGCGCGCCAGGCGTGGTGGCTCATGCCTGTAATCCCAGCACTTTGGGAGGCCAAGGCGGGCAGATCACCTGAGGTCAGGAGTTCGAGACCAGCCTGGCCAACATGGTGAAACACCCCATCTGTACTAAAAGTACAAAAATTAGCCTGGTGTGGTGGCGGTGGCAGGCACATGTAGTCCCAGCTATTCAGGAGGCTGAAGCAGGAGAATCGCTGGAACCCAGGAGGCAGAGGTTGCAGTGAGCCGAGATCATGCCACTGCACTCAAGCCTGGGTGATAAAGTAAGACTCTGTCCCCCGCGCCCCCCCCCAAAAAAAAAAAACAACACACGTACACATAAACCCACAAAAAACACACACATTCCACATTTCTGGCCTTTGCTGCCTGTCTCATTGATTAGTTTTCTGTTGAGTACGTGAGAATAGGAGCTCTTAATTTAAGCCTTATTAAAAAAAAACTTTTTGAGAACCTGTTTTTAAAACTACTCCTCTTCGTGGAGATTGATTATTTTGGGTCTTTTTGTCCAAGAAAATGAAATTAAGATTTTATTCTTTGATTGGTATGAGGGAGGAAGGAGAGTCGTCAGTCTAGTGTTAAAGATAAAATTATGTATGTTTAAGAGGGGCAGAAGTCATCACAAGATTATAATTAGGAAAATTTAAGTTTCCATACTTCCAAGGAAGTATGAATTTCTAGAATATCTTTTATTTCCATTTGATTTAGGCATTGCTATTGAAGACACTGATTTGGGGCAAGGTGTCGGGGAGAACAGGAGGAATTGTAGTTAACTTCTTTCCTCTTCACCAGAGGTTAACTGAGAGCAAGAAGCAGGACATGAATGAGTGTGCAAGAATTTGCCTTCTGTTAATTTCCCAAAGGTAGACCTTGGAAATAGTCAAAAGAACAAAAGTCAGGAAACCTTTTTCCGAGGCTGGAGCTAGTCTTTCTGATCTTTCCAAAGCAGTTATAAATATTGAAGTACCTCTGGCACTTAGATAAAATGATTCTGCGTGGCTTTAAACTCAGTTAATTTCTAATGCTTGAATGTCTGGATTTTCTATGATTTCTGAACAACTCAGATTTAAGTATGTCTTTTGTTTTCTGTGAAATTATAAGGGTTTTTTCCTTAGGAGATAGGGAACATTTCTGTTTTTTATTTTTTTATTTATTTTTTTATTTTTTGAGATGGAATTTCACTCTGTCGCCCAGGCTGGAGTGCAGTGGCGTGATCTCAGCTCACTGCAACCTCCGCCTCCTGGGTTCAAGCAATTCTGCTGCCTCAGCCTCCTGAGTAGCTGGGATTACAGATGCACACCACCATGCCCAGATAATTTTTGTATTTTTAGTAGAGACGGGGTTTCACCATGTTAGTCAGGCCGGTCTCAAACTCCTCACCGCGTGATCTGCCCATCTCAGCCTCCCAGAGTACTGGGATTATAGGCATGGGCCACCACCACGACTGGCTGGGAACATTTCTTTCAGATGGTAAACCTAAATGCTGCCTTATAAAATTAGATTTTAAACTCTTAATTTCTATAGTAAAATAATGCCTACCTTGTGATATTTCATAGAGGACATAGATTCAGAAAATAACTTTACAGATTACTTACAGAACTTCCTTACCATCTTGTTAATGATATATCAGTATATCTGAGTTAAAAGTATAAAGTGGGCCGGGCGCAGTGGCTTACGCCTGTAATCCTAGCACGTTGGGAGGCCGAGGCAGGTGGATCACGAGGTCAAGAGATGGAGACCATCCTGGCCCACGTGGTGAAACCCCGTCTCTACTGAAAATACAAAAATTAGCTGGGCGTGGTGGCATGAGCTTGTAATCTCAGCTACTTGGGAGGCTGAGGCAGGAGAATTGCTTGAACCCAGGAGGCAGAGGTTGCAGTGAGCCAAGATCGCGCCATTGCACTCCAGCCTGGCCATAGAGTGAGACTCAGTCTCAAAAAAAAAGTATAAAGTGAATGTGTTCTGCATGTAGAAGGGAATATAAGGAGCAAATCAGAACATATACTTTTATATTCATTCTTAAAAATTTAATTTTTACCGTTTTTAGCAGATTGTATGTGATCTTTGGTTTTAATCTCTTCTGCTGCTAAAGATATTATATATGGCTGATATTCCCCTACCCCCTATCTCTTGTATAAGGGTTGAGTTTAAAAGGAAAATGCTTGTAAAATAAGTTATTTAGAAGGGTAACAATGAAATTTGTTAAGGTTGGTTTACTTACAGTTAATCTTTTCTGAGAACATGGTCAGGGCTGCCTCCTCTTCCCTGTTGAGATGTATAAAGCAATAAGGTGCATGTGAAATGCAACCAGCCTGTTGTCTAAAAATGTTAGTGTGTAATTACTTTGCTTTTCATTTCTCACATTTTTGGGTTTACATCTGGAAACGCCACTAAATGAAGACGAGTGATTTTTAAGCATTAATCACTAATCTACTGTTTCAGATTCTGTCTATTGCAGAACTTCTTTTGAAGAATGTATTTAGAACCTTTCCCACATTAAAAAGGTCAATTTATGTAAATGAAGAATAAACAACATACTCTGTACCTCGTATGTAGTTACATACTTACACATGATTGATCTTTTGGTCATTATCTATTGAAACAGAGTTTTCACTTGTTAATAGTGGAAATTATCTTAAGTGTTGCTGGTTCAAGTGATTTATTACAAGTAAAGGTTTTTTTTTTTTTTTTTTGAGACAGTCTCTCACTCTATCAAGTGGAGTGTCGTGTAGTGGCTCGATCATGGCTCACTGCAACCTCTGCCTCCTGGGCTGAAGTAATCCGCCCACCTCAGCCTCCTAGTAGCTGGGACTACAAGCATGTGCCACCACGCCCAGCTAATTTTTGTGGGTTTTTTTGTAGATGATGGTTTCATCATGTTGCCGAGGCTGGTCTCGAACTCCTAGGCTGAAGCCATCTACCCGCCTTGAGTAAAGGTTTTTTGATACAAGAAATGATTATAACTTGGAGTTCAGCTTGGATTCTGACAACTTACTAGATTTTTTTCCCCCTCGGGAGAGGATGGTTGTTTCTTGCTTAGGAAATGATAATATTTTAGCAGCTTATCTGTGCCCCACAGCTGGCAGAGTAATGCAGTATGCTGATCATGAAGTTGCATCTGGAACCCTGAAAACTTCCAGACCTTAATGTTTCCAAAGAGATAGAAAAGACACATAGCTTCTGGTGTGTGTGTGTGTTTTTTTTTTTAAAATCATGTTAGTTGGAGGTCTCATTGAACCAGGACAATGACAGAATTTTATATTTATATTTGTTTTATCTTTTTCAATGCATGGTCATCAATAGGGAAAAAGTCACACTAGGAGCGTTGAGCCCTGTGAGGATATCACACCTGACCCTGGAATGGCAGTTGTGTAAGGGTAGGAACTTTGTTTTGTTCATTGCTGTATTTCTAGTTCCTAGAATAGTGCCCATCACTCAGAAAAACACGATGAATGAACATCCACCACTTACCACAGTAGCTGAATGTAGCCATGCTTTTAACTCTCTGCTCGTCTGTTTTCATTTATAGTTGACTTCAACAACAGAGGTTTTAGAAAATTTGAGCAGGGAGTAAGACTAACCTATAGTAGTTTTACACAGTGGGTTTTGGTTAATGCTCATGATTAATTTCTCTTCCCACCATAGAATGGTCTTACCCAACATGCTACAGAATTCTAGTTTCTGATATGTGAAAAGTTAATAGACATAAGAAAGGAAACACTAACAAGCTGAAAAAAATCACCTAAAATTGTGGCGGTTGTAAATCTACTTCTTAAAATTTTGCACCTCTTGAATTTTTAAAATACTGCCTCTACACTCAAATTTTTCTCTGGATCTGTTTCTTAATATTAAATGCATGTGTAAAAAAATCTATTTTAACAGCGAAAGTGAAAAGATTGTTTTAAAATTATTCAGTGTTGCCTTCTTAAGGTTTTGACTCTTAATTATCGTTCATTTGAAAGACAAGACTATGTAGAAAGTATTCTGTTGTTCTTTTGAAGTTAAAGTGTATCTCAGCCAAAAAAGTGCTGCTTTAGTCCCCAGTACCCCTCAACATTTTAGGAGGCCTGGCCAGAGCCTCTTAGTTTTCCCTCATGAATTTGGTTCAGACTTACTAGTTTTTGTAGCTGGGGTTCTTTTATTATATAAACGGTACAAATTGGTGTGCCTCTTTGCCCTTGTTGAAGCTGATGTGCTAGGTGGCACATCGATGATCACATAAACAGTTCTGTGTAGGTGCTAAATATGTCCATTCCTTTTTGGCCTTCTTAGGGCCTCTGTGCCCTTCGTTTTAGTCATTACCTCATTATTTTACAGAAAGGGACTTAGAGTATATTGTGTTAGGTCCCCCTCTCCAGTGAAAGCTGCATGATGATATCCAATACTGTAGTATTTAATAATTTAGTATATTTTTACTCCTTCAGGGTTATCTTTTACAATGGACAAAATCCTGTCCATATGGGACAATATGTGTACCAATATGTGATGGTGAAAGTTTTACCCTCTTATTTCAGATAACTTCCAGAAAGGTGTATTTATTTATACCCCTCTTGGAGATGGAACCTAACAACCCTGCCCACCCCTCTTCCCTGTTTGTCTGTTCGTTAGTGCTTAATGTGTTTAAGCATCCCTTGTTATTTTTAGGTAATTGCTTAGATTTAATGCAACCACATTACATTCTGCTACCTCTACTAATACGTGAATGTTCAAGGTTACCCAAACATAACTACTCTTATTCCTTAAGGTATATACATGACTGGTATCATGGGAAGGTACCTTATGGTACCAGAGAGCTTCTTTCAGACTCACCTCTACTTGGCCCTTTTTTTTTCTTTCAAATGAGTCTTTTTTTTTTTTTTTTTTTTTTTTGTCTCTTAAATTTAAAAGAGACGAGGTCTCACTGTCATCCAGGCTGAGAGTACAGCATTGTAATCATAGCTCGCTGCAACCTCGGACTCCTGGGCTCAAGCAACCCTCCTGCCTCAGCCTCCCGAGTACCTGGGACTACAAATGTGTGCCACCATGGCTGGCTAATTAAAAAATTTTATTTTATTTTATTTTTATTTTTTGTAGAGATGGGGGTATTTCTTTGTTGTATAGGCTGGTCTCAAGCAGTCCTCCCACTTCGGCCTCCCAGAGTGCTAAGATTATAGGCATGAGCCACCACGCCCTGTCTACATGGCCCTTATCTGACAAATAGTCCTAAGAGGCATGAGCAGTTTTTAATTTGCTCGCAATGTTTCACAATGACACACTGTTTCTAACCAAGCAGATGTTTGACTGTGGTTACTGGGAAGAATAGTCTTTGCCAGCATTAAGCCCACCTACTCGAACCTTTTCTGTTGAATCTCTCGTTTGGTCCATCTCTTGGAAGTTAATCAGCACCTGTGGAAACTTTACACAAACACTTCTGTATTACTGAAGATACCTCATCTTTTTGACAGAATAAATTATCACGTGATTTTTAGAACATGTCAGATAGCTTTTACAGCAGATATAGTGATTTTCCTGAATTAAATCTAGCACCATCAATTCATTCTTGCCCTTCGACTTGACCTGTCTCTTGAACCATTTCTCCCCCAATTTACCTGTTGGACGTACATCTACTTGGGAGGTCACTGTTAAAGCCAGCATATCATAGCTCGATAACTTCATTGGGATCTACCCTTCATTTCTTAATGATAATATCCTTTTTCTAGTTACCATAAGCCTTAAAATTTTTCAGTTATTTTTAACAACTTGCTCTGCTTCCTTTTTTTCCATTATTTTGTTGGTTGTTGTTGTTCTTGTGACAATCTAGG
Source organism: Homo sapiens (assembly GCF_000001405.40). NCBI lineage: Eukaryota > Metazoa > Chordata > Mammalia > Primates > Hominidae > Homo > Homo sapiens. Next base: position 29,955,016 of record NC_000022.11, read on the forward strand.
GTCTTACTTTGTTGGCCAGGCTGGAGTGCAGTGGCACCATTGTGGCTCACTGCAGCCTTGACCTCCCGGGCCCAAGCCATCCTCCCATCTCAGCCTTCTGAGTAGCTAGGACCACAGGTGTGTACTGCTATGCCCAGCTTTTTAAATTTTTATAGAGATGAGGTCTTCCCATGTTGCCTGGACTGGTCTTGAGCTCCTGGCTCCAGTGATCCTCCTGCCTCAGCCTCCCAAAGTGTTGGGATTAGAGGTATGAGTCATTGCACCCGGCCAGACATAATTTTTAAAAAGCAATATAATGTCCTTGCTCTAATAAAAAGGAAAAATAAAAAGGAAAATAATTTGTAATAGTATATATTTCATGCAAATACTCAGGTAGAATTATACTCTTGCAGGAAAAGGTTCTACAGATTTACAAATCCCTCAACTTTCCTGCTGTACTATGTTGTATTTAATACTTAGTTAAGCAACTTAATAGCAAGACTGGTCTTCATACTAAATACTTAATAGCAAGACTGGTCTTCATACTAAATACAGTTCGTCTCTGAAGTTGCAAATTATGAGTAGCTGTTTTCATTGTCATATAGTGTGTGTGAATAATATGGCCTGAGTTATAAAACATAAAAGTTATTGGGGAGACAAAAATATTATGTTTAAAATGGTTAAGACACTTCATTGTTGCATATTTAGCTTTCCTTTATGGTTCTTAGTTAATAATGTACCATATTTTACTGACTTTTTTTTTCTTTTCTTTTTTGAGATGGAATCTCACACTGTCGCCAAGGCTGGAGCGCAGTGGCGCAATCTCAGCTCACTGCAACCTCCACCTCCCGGGTTTGAGTGATTCTTGTGCCTCAGCCTCCTGAGTAGCTGGGACTACAGGTGTGCCCCACCACACCCAGCTAATTTTTGTATTTTTAGTAGAGCTGGGGTTTCGCTGTGTTGGCCAGGCTGGTCTTGAACTCTTGACCTCAGGTGATCCACCCACCTTGGCCTCCCAAAGTGCTGGGATTACAGGCATGAGCCACCGCGCCTGGCCTTGACTTCTTAATTTCAGAGTTTTGATATTCTGAGCAATCTTGTTCATTTATGTGACTCCATGTCATTTAAACAGCTCAAATGGATGAGTCGTGTTTGCACAACTTTAGAGAAATTGTCACAAAGGAACAGGTCGGTTAGATGTTTTGTCTCTGTAAAGTTCAGATTGTTGCCTACTGGTGACAAGAATTCTTTGTTTTTGTTTTGTTTTTTTGAGACAGAGTCTCACTTTATTGCCCAGGCTGGAGTGCAGTGGCGTGATCTCGGCTCACTGAAACCTCCACGTCTCGTGTTCAAGTAATTGTCCTGCCTCAGCCTCCTGAATAGCTGGGATCACAGGCGCATGCCACCACACCCAGCTAATTTTTGTATTTTTAGTAGAGACGGGGTTTTGCCATGTTCACCAGGCTGGTCTCTAACTCCTGACCTCAAGTGATCCGCCTGCCTTGGCCTCCCAAAGTGCTGGGATTACAGGTGTGAGCTACCGTGCCTGGCTGAATTCTTTGTTTTTCTACCATATTCTCCTTACCCTTTTTCTTAAACAAAAGGTCAGATCCCTTGATAGAAGCCAATTATGTGTACAAAACACCTTAAAATAAGTCCAAGCCTGGAGTGTCTGTGATCTTTTTAGTTTTGTAAAGTACCTGTTCCTGTATTGGCAACGATTTACCCAAGAAGCCACCAGAAATGATGCTTGCTTGACTGAGAAAAACTTAAATAAGCCTCTCTGTGGGGTTTGAAAAGCTCTGTTCTCTACAGTTCTGCAATTTCTGAAGGCATGCTAAGGCTTGACTGGGTCTGTTCTGTGCAGTTATAAACATTCTAAAATCTGTGGTTGACTAAATACTCCATGTTGCACCAATTTAAAAATCTCATTGTCATAGCATTATGACTGGTAGAGAAAGGTCTTGTGGGGAGATCTAAGTGGCTTAACTTGATTCTTAGGATATTTGTCATTATAAAATAACTGTTTTTTCTTTTGCAGACTTCCTTGTGAAACCTCCTAGTAGAAAAAGTTCTTGGGACAAACTTCATTTGGTAAGTTTGTTTCTCCCCTCCTGCCACCCCCGCCCCCCTCCAATACTCTCTCTGTGCTGTTTCGAGGCAAGGAAAAATTAATTTACAGGTTGATTTTTGGGGATCTGTTTGTCAATGTCCATGATTATTTAGATGAGTTTTTCTATGTTCACTTTAATGTCCTTACATGTGATTATTTTTTTTTTTCACTAGGACTCATACCAGGTCACTTTTTCTATATATAATTGCACTGTAATAGTGTACTGGAAAACTTGTATTTAAGTTGAGATTTTGAGTTGCAGCACTAATCATTTGTCTAAAATAAATAGATTTATCAATCTCCAGTTGTATTTATTTATTTATTTATTTATTTATTTATTTATTTATTTATTGATATATTTTTTGAGACAGTCTTGCTGTGTTTCCCAGGCTGGAGTACAGTTAGGTGATTATAGCTCACTGCAGCCTTGAACCCCTGGGCTACAGCAATCCTCCTGCCTCCGCCTCCCAGTTGCTGGGACTACAGGTGTGTGCCATCAGGCCTGGCTAGTTTGGAAACTTTTTTTGTAGAGACAGGATCTCGTTCTGTTGCCCAGGCTGATATAGTTCTTTTAAATTCAAACTTGCTTCTTGTTTTGAGTTTTCTTAAATTGGTATATATCTATATGAAAAATAAGACCTCTTATTACTAGAGTTAGTTCAGCAGTTCCCCCTTACCTTCTTTTGCTTTCCAAGGTTCAGTTATCCAAGGTCCAAAAGTACTAAAATATCAAGAGAGCAAGAAAGAGAGACACTACACATTCATATGACTTTCATTATAGTGTATTGTTGCTTGTTCTATTTTGTTATTAGTTGTTGTTAATCTGTCACTGTTTCTAATTTATAAAGTAAACTTAATCATAGGTACATACGTAGAGGAAAAACTATATATATATATATGTATGTAGTTTTCAGTACTACCTGTAGTTTCAGGGATCCACAGGGGGTCTTGGAACATATTCCCCGAGGATAAGGCAGGGGATTACTGTAGTGCAAATATGAATTTTAATGAGAAAAACAAGTTCTGAAAAATTTGCGAGTTCTTTCTCCAGTGTGGCTACTAAACCTTGTCCTTTTTCAAAAAATGTCCTTTTCATAGACCTTTGTGTGTCTCTTACTAGGTAAATCTTTATTAGTGCCTCTTGTTTCTGCCACCTGTTTAGGGAACTGTAGTACAGTTTTATTAGAAGACAAGTTATTGCCTTGGTTTTAAGTTCCTAAATCCAGATCATTTCCTTGTTCAGGAACTGTTGCCTTGCTATTGCCTCTAGAACAAGGATCAAACTCCTTAGCATAACATTTCAGGTTCTTTACAGGTAGGCTTCAAACAGCTTGTCACCTGTTTTCTCTGTGTACCAAGTTCATCTCTTGTAGCCACACCGACCTACCTCCTGTCTCTCAAATACTCTCCAAGGTGCTTTTTTGTCTTACTCTGCCGCCATGCCATTCCTGCTCCCCTCTTGTCTCAGTGGCTCAAAATTTGGCTGGTTCAGTTATTAAAAGCTTGAGTCTTCCAGAAAGTCTTCCTTAAGTGCCCAGCTCAGAATCTCTTTCTCTGCTTTTTGCATTACCATGGAATTAAATTTCTGTATCTCTTAACATACTCTTGTCTTATTAGTTATATTTGTTGGTCACCCCCACAGGATTGGGAATGCCCTTGAAGGCAAGAACTATATTGATATTTGAATTGTCAGTTCACAGAAACACTCCTAGACTCCTGGGATACCAATGCCTTCTCAGTATAAATTCTTCTTGACTAGGGTTTTTGTTTTGGTAAGAATAGGGGAGGAGAATAGATTGGTTTTAGTAGAGATTGGTCAGCATAGTCTTGTTGATTTAGGTTACTGTTTTTTCCCCACTTTTCTGTATAGTGGAGGATCATAGGGTATATATAATCTGTGCCCTTGTAGTCCAAGTTGCTCCGTGTATTACTTGAGGTATTCTTTGCAAGTATAAGTTTTAGTTTTTGATAAGGAATTGAGTAATTTCTCTTTAACAGGTGCCTGAAAGATGAGATTCCATGTTCAGTAGGAAGATTAAATGTTGGTTTGCTTCTGTAAAGATTTCTGAGAAGTCATATCATGGGGTGGTACTGATGATGGAGCTGAGAGAAGCATGCAGGTTCCAGCTGTCAAATTCTCATATATTAAGGAAAGAAAGGTTATTTCACCTTCAGGCTTGGAATAGGAATCTTAATCTTCATTTAGCCAGGGGGGTGGGGGAGTGTTGCAGATTAGATCTGTAGTGAAGGAAATGTAATCCTTTTTATTTTATTTACGTATTTATTTTTGAGACAGAGTCTTGTTCTGTCACCCAGGCTGGAGTGTGGTGGCGCGACCTCAGCTCACTGCAGCCTCCACCTGCTGGGTTCAAGCAATTCTCCTGCCTCAGCTTCCTGAGTAGCTGGGATTACAGGCATGCTCCACCACTCCTGGCTAATTTTTGTGTTTTTAGTAGAGACGGGGTTTCACTATGTTGGCCAGGCTGGTCTCGAACTCCTGATTTCCAGTGATCCATCTGTCTCAGACTCCCAAAGTGCTGGGATTACAGATGTGTGCCACTGTGCTGGCCAGAAACGTAGTAACATATTACTTGGCTCTGTAGCATTTAATATTTGTATTGCCATAATAATGTAAATTTGTAAAAGTGTTAATTTTTTTTTTTTTTTTTTTGACACAAGGTCTCACTCTTGCCCATGTTGGAATGCAGTGGTGTGATCATGGGTCACTGCAGCCTCGATCTCCTGGGCTCAAGTGATCCTCCCACCTCAGCCTCCTGAGTAGGTGGGACTATGGGCATGTACCACCTTGCTAGGCTAATTTGTTTTTATTTTTATTTTTGTGGAGACTAGGGTCTCATTATGTTGCTCAGGGTGGTCTTGAACTCCTGGGCCCAAGTGATCCTCCTGCCTCAGCCTCTCATAGTGTTGGTCTTACAGGTGTGAGCCACTGCCCCTGGCCACGTTCTTATCTGAAGAAGCATGATCTAGGTTTGAAGAGAAAGATGTAAATGTATTTAATTTTGATGCCAGGAAACATACTGTTTAATTAATATGTGCCCCAGATTAAAGGAGACTAAAGAGATATAAAAATAGCTTCAATATATGATCCCAGACTAGATCCTTTACCAAAGGGGGGAATATTGCTGTGAAGGATAAAGGATATGATTGGATTCATTGACAAAATTGGAATAGATATGGTAGATTATTATATCAGTGTTAAATTTTCTGAAATTGAAACTAGAACTGTGGTTATATGAGAGATTATCTTTCTTAGGAAATACATACTGAAGTAGTAAGAATTAAAGAGATATTTGTATGCAAGCCTCTTTTAAATGGTTCAAAAAAAATGCACGTGCATATGCGCGAACAAAAAAGGAGACAGTGTTGGAAACTGTCCTATCCAAATTCTCTGTAATGAAACATTTAATGAAGTACAGTCTTTATATAACCATGTGTTGTCATATGTATGTACATGTACATACTAATTTAAAAAGTGCTTATTACATGCCAGTAACTATTCTAAGCATGTTATATGCATTATATCTTAATTCTCACAATTCTTTGATGCAATGATTGTTCTCCTTGTTTTCTCGATGAAGAAACTGAGGCTCAGAGAGGTAGTATGATTTGCTCTCAAGGTCATAGAGTTAGTATATGGCAGCCCTGAGGGCCATTGCTTTACATTCCTGATTGTTTTTTCTTGAGGCTATTATCTTAACACTCTGAGTTTAAATGAAAACCTTTCATTAAAACTTATTTTGAGTTTTCTGTTTAAAAGCTTTTTTTGTAGAAAAATTTGTTATCCTAATTGCAAATGTTTTAAAAGTTTAAAAACTGAAAGTTGCTGCTCCCACTCTCTTCCCTAGGAAGGTAGATTGTTAACCATTATATAGTTTTTTGTGTATGTATAAACATACTTTGGAATTAATACAGACAATGCTTAGGCATATTTTTATTTTAACTTTTAAAATTACAGAACATTGAAAACTTATGGCAAGTTGATAAATATGTGTTGTGTTTTTTTTAAATAGAAGAGTATGTAGTCTTTGGCAATAATAACCCCTCTGCAACCCTTCCCCCAAATTTATATGCTTTTACCTAGTATATTCATTTTTAAGAATAATTAGGGCTACAGAAATAGCGACTTGTGCATAGATATGGATAAGGGTGGTTGTTGCGGCTTTTTTGGTGGCAATGGAAAAATGGAAACAACCTAAATGTCTCACTAATTGATGGATGGTTAAGTTATGATACATTGGGGTATAATGGAATACTGAACTGCCATATGTATATACTGACATAGGAGGGATTTGTTATATTAATTAAAGAATATATACTGAAGAAACTACAGTATGGCTACCCCACCCCACCCATTTTGGGGGTAGATAATGTGTGTCTTTGTACACTCATGTGCCACATAATGATGTTTTGGTTAGCAACAGACCCAAGATACGATGGTAGCCTCATGAGATTAAAATGGAACTGAAAAATAACTATCACCTAGTGGAGTTGTAGTTGTCATAATGTCTTGGTACAATTACTTTTTAAAAATAAACTTAGTGTAGCCTAGTTGTATAGTGTTTATAAAGTCTGTAGAAGTGTACAGTAATGTCCTAGGCCTTCACACATTCACTCACTACTCACTGACATACCCAGAGCAACTTCCAGTCCTACAAGCACCATTCATGGTAAGTGTTGTCCTATACAAGTGTACCATTTTAATCTTTTGTATCATTTTTACTGTATCTTCTCTGTTTATGTATGTTTAGATATACAAATAGGGAGCACTGTGTTACAGTTACCTACAGTATTCAGTACAGTAACATGCTGTGCAGGTTTGTAGCCTAGGAACAACAGGCTATACCATATAGCCTAGGTGTGTAGTAGACTGTCCCATCTAGGTTTGTATAAATACCTCTGTGATGTTTGCACAACAGCTAAATCTGCTAATGATGCATTTCTCAAAACATGTCTCCATTGTTAAGCGAAGCTTGACTGTATGTGCATAGAGAACTGTCTGGATAGACTTATGAAATAGTTAACAGTTGCTATATTTACATGTAGATGAACTAAAGGGCAGTAAGGAGTGAAAAGCGAACTTCTGCTTACCAATTTTTTTTAAATAAGTTTAACTCAGATATATTAATAACATAAAATTCACATACTATACAATTCACCCATTTAAAGTGTACAGTTCAGTGGCTCAGTATATTCACGAAGTTGTGTAGCCATCACCACAGTCCATTTTAGGACCTTTTCCTCACCTCAGAAACTTCAGGCCAGGTGTGGTGGCTAATGACTGTAATCCCAGCAGTTTGGGAGGCCAAGGTGAGAGGATTGTTTGAGGTTGGGAATTTGAGACCAGCCTGGACAACATGGTGTGAGCCTCCCCTTTTCCCCCCACAAAAATAAAAATAGCCGGGTGTGGTGGCTTGCACCTGTGGTCCTGGCTACTCTGGAGGCTGAGGCAGGAAGATCGCTGGAGCCCAGGAGGTTGAGGCCGCCGTGAACCATGATCCTGTGATTACAGCACTGCAACTCCAGCCTGGGCAGCAGAGCAAGACCCTGTCTCCAAAACAAAACAGAACTTCATAGCTGTCAACCTCTCTTACCGTCGGTCTTTCCCAGCTCCTGGCACCCACTAATCTGCTTTCTAAGATTTTCCTGTTCTGGACATTTCATATAAATGATATCATAACAATATGTGGTCTTTTGTGACTCGCTTCATCATTTAGCATAATGTTTTTAAGGTTCATTCACGTTGAAGCATGTATCAGTACTTCATTCCTTTCTCTCTTTTTTCTTTTTTTTTTTTTTTTGAGACAGGGTCTCACTCTGTTGCCTAGGCTTCTGGTGTGCCGTGGCATGAAGATCTGGGCTCACTGAAACCTCGCCACTGCATCCTGGGCTCAAGTGATCCTCCCACTTTCAGCCTCCCGAGTAGCTGGGACTACAGGCACATGCCAGCACGTCCAGCTAGTTTTTGTATTTTTTATCTTTTTTTCTTTTATTATTATTTTATAGAGATGGTGTTTTGCCATGTTGCCCGGGCTGGTCCCGAACTCCTGGCCTTGAGTGATCCACCTCCCTGGACTTCCCAAAGTGCTGGGATTACAGGCATGAGCCACCATGCCTGGCTCAATTTTTGTGTTTTTTGTAGAGGTGGGGTTTCACCATATTGCCCAGGCTGGTCTCAAACACCTGGGTAAAAGCAGTGTGCTGACTACATCTTTTCAAAGTGTTGGGATTATAGGCATGAGCCACTGTGTCTGGCCACTTAATTCCTTTTTTTTTTTTTTTTTGAGATGAGTCTTGCTCTGTCACCAGGCTGGAGGGCAATGGTGCGATCTCGGCTCACTGCAACCTCTGTCTCTCGGGTTCAAGTGATTCTCCTGCGTCAGCCTCCCAAGTAGCTGGGACTATAGGCATGCACTGCCATGCCCAGCTAATTTTTGTACTTTTAGTAGAGATGGGGTTTCACCGTTGGCCGGGATGGTCTCGATCTCTTGACCTTGTGATCTGCCCTCTTCAGCCTCCCAAAATGCTGGGATTACAGGTGTGAGCCACTGTGCCCAGCCCACTTAATTCCTTTCTATGGCCAAATAATTTGCCATTGTTTAGATATGCCACATTCTGTTTATTCATCCATCTGTTGATGGACATTTGGTTTCAGTGAGCCTAGATCTTCACGCCACTGCACACCAGTAGCCTGGGTGAGAGTGAGACCCTGTAGTGGAAAAAAAAAAAAAGAGGAATGAAGTACTAATACGTGCTTCAAAATAGCCCATCCCACCTTTGGGCTACTTTGAATAAATCTGCTATAAACATGTATTTGCAAGATTTTACATGGACATGTTTTTGTTTTCTTGGATATATACCTAGGAGTAAGATTGTTGAGTCAAATGGTAACTCTGTGTTTAATTGAGCAACTGCCAGGCTATTTTTCAAAGAGGCTGCACTATTTTACATTCTCACTAGCAGAGTATGAGGTTACTTGTTTACTTTTTACATCTGTATCTTATTTACTGAGTGCATGCATTACTCGTATATCTAATTTTAAGAAGTATTACACTGCTTATCAGACTAACAGTAATGACTCAATTTCTTCCTTTTGTACTGTTGGTATAACTACCACTGTGGGGTTCACATTTTACAAGTCAGGTGCTGTAATGAACCCTGAATATTTCCTAAGGATTGGTCACATCTGCGATTTGTAGTGTTTTTTGTTTGTTTGTTTGTTTGTTATTTTACATAATACCCAGAGTGGTCTAATGCTCTTTCTAGTTTTAAAAGGAACCTTTAGCAAGTACTTGATTCTGATGGGTTGCACAGTTTCCTGTGATCTTGGCTTTTTCTTATGGATTTGGAATTCCTATAGCAGTTTTAACTTTTCTCAGATACTTAAAGCAGCACCTCTTACTTTGAACTATTTTAACTATTTCTTGTCTCCTCTGGACTGTAAGTTCTTTAATCTCCCTTTGCTGCCACATCTAGGCCTCTACCTAAACCTGTGAGTTACACACCAGGATATCTTTCACATACTTAGGCTTTTATCCGTACTGCCTCCATTCTAAATCAAGCCACTAGTCTCTTACTGTAATTGTCTCCTGGTTCTCTTCTTTATTCTTTTTCTCTTTTAATCCATTCACCCCACATCAACCAGGGTGATCTTAAAATCAAATCACGTCACTCTGCTATTTAAAACCTGTCAATGGCTCCCTGTTGTATTTGGACTGTATTTTAAACTTACTACTATTCACATGATCTTTTCCTTTACATTTCTCCAACTTCAAGTTGTGCCACTCTTCTTTCTGATTCGGTACAGTTTAGCTACAATGGTTTCCTCCTTTTAGTTCTTCAAAATTATCAAGGTCTTTCCTGTCTGAGGAACACATGCACTTCCGTATATTAGAAACTGGCCTTGCCCCACCAAGTAGTCTTTTCTGATCACTTTATCTAAAGTAGGTCTTCGGTACCCCCAAACCCCAGTCCCTGTCTCAGCATCCCGTTTGTTTCCTTTATCACATTTAGCACAATTTGTAATTATTACCATCTTTTTCTGTCTTCTGCGATGGTATATAAGTTGTATTAATGCAGAGCTAACAGTGTCATACTGTCTAACACATACTAGATTATTGGTAAATTTTGACTGACTGCAGTGCAGAAAGAACATCATTTTACAGAATCTATTTGGTATAGAAATGGAAGGCCTTATTTCTGGGTGAAGACTATGTTTAAATTGAGACTTTTAATGCCGAGTGGCAAATCTTTGTCTTGGTATTTCTGTACTCATTAAAAAATTAGAGTAGGCCAGGTGTGGTGGCTCACACACTTTGGGAGGCCAAGGCAGGCAGATCACTTGAGGCCAGAAATTTGAGACCAGCCTGATCAACATGGTGAAACCCTGTCTCTACTAAAAATACAAAAATTAGCCAGGCATGGTGGCATATGCCTGTAATCCCAGCTACTTGAGAGGCTGAGACACCAGAATCACTTGAATCCGGGAGGCAGAGGTTGCAGTGAGCTGAGATCGCACCACTGCACTCCAGCCTGAGCGATAGAGCGAGACTCTGTCTCAAAAACAAAACAAAACAAAACAAATTAGATTTGACTGGGAAGATAGCTTATGTATATATATATAATGTGACTGCAGATTGAGAGTTTATTTTGTAATTGGAATTTGATTTCTAGTTCAGTGTCACTACAGATGAGTACATTTTAGTTGGGACATCCGGGATGCTTGTGAGAGTTTTTTCAGATTTCTCTGAAAAAAATCTGAAAGACGTAACAGTGCATATTGATAGGCTTACTGTATAAACAGTGGTTTCATGAGAGATAAAACTTTGACTCTTTAAATTAATTCTTCAATAACTGGAGGTTTTGAGGTAGAATTGCCATTATGGTTAAAAAAACTTTATGTGAAAATTTCAAATATATAAAAGTAGAGAAAATAGTTTAATAAATCTCCATTAACTTATCTCACTGGTCTTCAAAAGTTACCAACTCATGACCCATCTTGTTTCAGAGGTACTCCTACTCATTCTGCCTACTCCTTGGTATATAACTTTATGTATTTTATAGTTAAAAGATAAATTCTTTTTAAAAACCCATCACCACACACAAAAACCTATAACCACAGTAACATTGTCAATTATATAGAAAATTAATAACTCCTTAATATCATCAGATATTTAGTATGTGGTCAGATTTCCCTAATAGATGTCTCAGCTTATACTTTGAATAAGAATCCAAATAAGATCTATATATTGCAGTTGGTTGACATGGTCACTTAAGTCTCTCTTAATTCTGTAGGTTTCCCTTCTATGTCGGTCTTTTGTCTTGCTATTTAAAGAATAGGGGTTATTTTCCTGTAGTTTTCCATAGACTAGATTATTATTTGCATCTTGTATTTCATTAGCAGTTGTAAAATAGTATTATCAAATTCTTTTCTTTGTATATTAGGTAGAATTCTTCCCTCATCAACTACTTCATTCTATACTAGTTCATTTTGTGTAAGAAAGGCGGGATAGATACTTGATTCTTTCCCCTTACTTGCTAGTTTTCAAAAATAAAAGGTTAGTTCCTTAACATCTTCCACTGGTGACCTGTAGGGGTGTGCGTGTGTGTGTGTGTGTGTGTGTGTGTGTGTGTGTGTGTGTGTGTGTCTGTCTCTGTGTGTGTGTGAGAGAGAGAATGTTTCTTTATGAACTCATATTTAAACATCCTGAAACCCAATCCATTGCATTTAACCATTTTGCTCAAATTATTTCATTTTTAGCTAGTGAGTCTCTTCAAATTGACTCCCAATTATTTCTGACTTACCCTCAGTAGTCTTTTATATGTTTCTTACATTCCAGTTTAATATGATGTTTCAGAATCAAATTGTACATTTTCTTTTCTAGACCTGGAATTGGTTATATTTTCTTTCAGGTGCCCCATCTTCTTTTGAAGTGGGAATTAGTCTTTAGGGACCACAGTCTAGGGGCTTAGAATGCTCATTGCTGCTGGGTTGATACTGTAACTTTTTTGCAGCGTTTATTTTTATCTTATGAAGAGTTTGATTATATTGTTACTCTTCACCTCTGTTGTGTGTGTGTGTGTGTGTGTGTGTGTGTGTGTGTGTGTGCATGCGCGCGCGCGCGCATGTTTTTTAGAGACAAGGTCTTGCTCTGTCACTCAGGCTGGAGTGCAGTAGCATAAGCTCACTGCAGCCTTGAACTCCTGAGCTCAAGGGATCCTTCCACATCAGCCTCCCAAGTGGCTAGGACTACAGGTGTGCACAACCACCTAATTTTTTTTTTTTTTCAGTAGAGACAGTCTTGCTATGTTGCCCAGGCTGGCGTTGAACTCTGGGGCTCAAGCTGTCTTCCTGTCCTGGCCTCCCAAATTGCTAGGATTATAAGAGTGAGCCACTGCACATGGCTTCTGTATTTTTTTTTTTTTGAGCTATAAGTCATATCACATAAAATCCACCCTTTTAAAGTATACAATTCAGTGGTTTTTAGTATAGTCATAAAGCTGTAGAACCATTACCATTACCTAATTCCAAACATTTCATCACCCTGCAAAGGTACCTTGTACCCATTAGCAGTCACTCCCTATTCTTCCCTCAACCTGGCTCCTGGCAACCACTAATCTACTTTCTGTCTCTGTGGATTTACCTTTTCTGGACATCTCATACAAATGGAATCACACAATATATGGCCTTTTGTGCCCCAGGTTCTCTCATTTAGCATAATGTTTTCATCTATGTGTGTCATGTATCAGTATTTTATTCCATTTTATTGCTGGATAACTCCATTATATATACTGTGTGTGTGTGTGTGTGTGTGTGTGTGTATTTTTTGTTTGTTTATCCATTCACATTTTGTTTGTCCATTCATTGATTGATGCATATTTGGGTTGTTTGCACTTTTGGCCATCATGAATAATGCTGTTACGAAAATTTGTGTAGAAGTTTTTATGTGGACATACCTTGTCAGTTCTCTTAGGTATATACCCAGGAGTGGAACTGATGGGACATATGATGACTCTAAACTTTTTTGGGAACTGCCACACTTTTCCTCAGAGGTTGTACCACTTTACATTCCTGCCGGCAGTGTATGGGGGTTTCACCTTCACATTCCATCTACATCTGACATTAGTATCTTCCTCACTGGAGTTATATTTTGTTATTTAATAGTTTTGCAAAATGCATTAAATTCACTTCCATTTAAATTGTTTAAGATACAGCAGTTTGAATGTGTCAATGATGCTATCTTTAGAAATTTTATTCTAAAACACAAATATCTTTTGTGTAATATTAGGACAGTTTTTTAAAAGTAATTCAGTATGTTTCTTTTTTGAAAAGGTTCTTTATAACAGTATCCCGTTCTTTTAATAAGTTCATACCCTCAAATTTTCTCTGCCTTTGCCCTTCTCCTTTTTAATTCCAATAAGTGCCTTTTTGCACATCTTTACCTTCCTATCTAAAGTAGCATTTCTGTTACACCATCACCAAACTCTGCTTAATTTTCTTTGCAGCAGTTGCCTACTGCTTAACATTAGTTATCTGTTTCTTTGTTTCTAATGAGAAAGACCAACAATAAAATCAAGTTCCATGAATTTCTGTTCACAGTGGTGTCCCCAAAGTCTACAACAGTGCATGGAGTGTAGAAAATATTGAATAAATATTTATTGAAAAGAATGAATAAATGAGATAATTTTACATTAGTTTCAGTTCTTGAGCTAGGCCAAATCACAAAAGTTTGGCTTGGTTTGAAGAGTGGTTAAGAATGATGACTCCAACTTGGTCTGTTACTGAACCATAAGGTTCTTCCTCATCCTTCCAGCCTCTAAAAAATGGTGCACCCAAAACCCCTGTCCTTAGTCATCTTAGCCTCTCCATTTATACTTGCTCCTGCATTTGGCTTTAATGCCATTCACACACTGATGTCTCCCACATTTATGTTTATATCTCTAGGCTCCATCTTCTTGATCTCTAGTCTGGTTTAACTAGCACTTTACTTGGCATCTTTGTTTGGATATGTGATAGGTTTTCAAACATAATGTGTCTAAAATGGAAACTTTAATTTCTTGTTCCTTGTCCGTTGAGCTGTCTCTGCATGGCACGAGAAGAATAGATTTTTCTTACAATGCTCTTCATCAATAAATAGAAAATCCTTGCTTCCGGTTGCTGACACAAAAAGCTTGACTTCTCTTTTTCTATCCTATTTAATTAATCCACTCAAATCCTATGGGCAGTATTTTCAAAGTATATCCAGAATCAGTAACATCCCACCACTTCTATCTCTACTACCTTTTCATTGCTATATTGTCTCTTGCTGGGGTTAATGACGCTTTCTAATTGGTCTTCTTTTGCCCCTTACCCCCAGTAGCCTTGACTGTTCTCTACCCAACAGCCAAAATGATTCTTTTTTTTGTTTTTTTGGTTTTTTTTTGAGACTGAGTCTCACACTGTCACCTGGGCTGGATGTGCAATGGCGTGATCTCGGCTCACTGCAACCTCTGCCTCCCAGGTTCACGTTATTCTCCTGTCTTAGCCTCCCGAGTAGCTGGGACTACAGGCACACACCCCCATGCCCTGCTAATTTTTTGTATTTTTAGTAGAGATGGGGTTTCACTATGTTGGCCAGGCTGGTCTCGAACTCCTGACCTCGTGATCTGCCTGCCTTGGCCTCCCAGAATGCTGGGATTACAGGCGTGAGCCACCACACCCGGCCAAAATGATTCTTTAGAGTAAGTCATCTCCTACCATTCCTCTGCTCAAAATGCCTCAACACAATCTGGGCCTTGCTACTGCTTTTATGTTCTCTTGTTCCCTTGCTTACATTGCCCTTAAAAGAGTTTTATGCTGCACATTGAAGCCCAGACTCCCTGAAATATCCTGTGTTACAGAAGCTTAGCAAACTAGAAATGTTGGTTTTGCATGAGACTGTTCAAAGAAAAGAGCAACTTACTTACTCTTTGTATAAGCCTATTTTTGGGTTTCTAGTTGGATATTCTTTCCCCCTTTTTTGTTCTTATAAAACCAGGTAAAGGTATTAGTACAGATTGTAAGTTTTTAGAAGAGCATAGAATATTTGGGTAATAAGGCAAATTTATTTTTCCTATTTTGCTCGTAAGTCAGTTTGGTTTCCTCAGATGGGGGATCCATTTTGAATTTAGAGATAACCACAAAAACATCCTAAAATACTACAAGAATAATGATTTTGCATTTGCAGGTTGATGTTATTTATTTTTTTGAGACAGAGTCTTGCTCTGTTGCCCAGACTAGAGTGCAGTGGTGTAATCACAGCATACTACAGCCCCAACCTTCCAGGCTCAGTTGATCCTCCCACCTCATCCTCCTGAGTAACTGGGACTACAGGCATGTGCTGCCATGACCAGCTTTTTTTTTTTTTTTTTTTTTTTTTTTTGAGACAGAGTTTCACTCTGTTGCCCAGGCTGGTCTCAAACTTCTGAGCTCAGGCTATCTGCCTCAGCCTTCGAAAGTGCTGGGATTATAGGCATTAAGCCACCTTGCCTGGCCTGTAGGTTGATTTTAATTGTTGCTTTATTCATCCAAGTTTTATGATATTTTTTGTTTTACTACGAACATTAGGAATGTTAGCCTTTGATACTGTTTTTGCAGAAACAGGTTAAGACTAACAGGAGTTTTACAAAGGAACTGTCAAATTGGGATTTGACTAGTGGGAATTGGCTGGGTGATAATCAACTTTTTCTTGGCTGACTCTGATCAGCTTCTTAGGCCTGTGTATATACAATACCTTTGTGAGGATATGGCCGATTAGGGGAAAAACTATTGCCAATTTTGCCTCCCCTCCTCTTTTTTTTTTCTTCTTCCCCCTCTTCCCCCCCACCCCCAGACTTCACCATAAGGGAAAGAAGAGAGCCTTGTTGGACACTGAAGAAGGGACGGGGATTTCTCCTCCTAATCTGGGCCTCTTGTCATGGTAAGTACAAGGAAATAAGAGTAAAAAAAAAAACAAAAAACCCTGTGTCCTGACAATTAAGTGAACACTAATAAATTCATACTTACCCATTTTTGTTTTTGTAAGAAATTATTTCTTTTTCTTTCCCAGATCTCTTGTGTCTTTTCTTTTCTTGTTTACTTAGTAGTAATAGAGTACTCCAATATACAGAGCAGTTTCATTTCTGTTAACTTTAATCCTGTGAGCTAGATGTTGTCTCTTATTTTTCAGTCAGCAAGTAAATGGAATCAAGACTAAAACATACAGTTCTCGGACTCCAGGTTTTTAATTCCTTTTCTAGGAAGTAGCGTGTAGTGAAAACTGTGTGTGTGTGTTTGTGTGTAGACAAATTGTAAGATGGTAATCTGCATATTTACTTAAAAATTTTTTTAAATTGACAAATTACATATATATTGTGTACAGCATAATGTTTTGAAATACATATATACCTTGTGGAATGGCTAAATCAAGCTGATTAACATATGTATTACTTCACATAGTATATATGCTTTATGAATTTATAGAAGCAATTCCCTACCTTCCCTGTTTTGTCTCTTTAAGGCAGTATTTTGATCCCATAGTAGGTGGAGCAGCCCTGCACACCCCCTCCTGTATCTTTAACCAGAAAGAGAATTTAATGGACAATTTAATGACTTACGGGCCATTTCGGGCCCAGCTCAAGCAGAGAAGATGGAGCAACAAGCCAGCCACATTTTCATCAATCCTGAGGAAATGTAAACAGTGCTTCAAGGCTTAAAAAAGAAATGGTCCTCTGTAATATTGTCCTTCTTCTACCTTGTGATGTTTCCTAGATCCAAACTGTTTTATGCTGATGCACAGAGAAGGAATTGAAAAGGCTACATTAATTTCAAGCTTCATTAGGGACGTATGGAAAATGCTTTTCAAAATTAGAAAAAGTAAAACAAAAAAACTAGTTGTGCAGAAATGTCATATTAAAAGGAAGAGAAAGGTAACTGCCCTTATCTTAAAGGCATGCCAATTTTTTCTTAGTTTGTGGGCATTACAACTTTATGATTTATCTTATACCTAAACATTGATGAACTTTTCCTGTTATTTTCTTGATTATATTTTATTTTATTGGTTTTCCCACAGAGTTTTCAATGAATTGAAAAAGTGCTTGTCTAGTATTTCAGCCAGTGCTAATGAATAACAAATGATGGGCTTATGAAAGCAGCTCTGTTCTGTATTGAGGGTTTGTCCTTCATTGTATACCACACGGCTAGTAACAGTGTGGTCCTCTTCCTGGTGCTGCTGGGTTCTCCATGGTGCCTAGCAGAAAGTCTTCCTGGTGTTTTCCCTGGCCTGATGCTTTAGACAACGCTTGGGAGTTGATTCTGTGTGTACTAGTTGGGGAGTAGCATGGCCATGTATGTATCTTTTGTTTTTGTTTAGTTTCTCATAAAGTAGCATTGTTACAAGTTTTTACAAATTCTCATTTATAACTCTACCACCAGAACCCATGGTTGTATTCCGTTTTCTTTTTTCTTGAGACAGAGTCTTGCTCTGTTGCCCAGGCTGGAGTGCAGTGGTGCGATCTCGGCTCACTGCAACCTCCACCTACTGGGTTCAAGCGATTCTTGTGCCTCGGCCTCTCAAGTAGCTAGAATTACAGGCACCTGCCACCATGCTTAGCTAATTTTTGTATTTTCAGTAGAGACGGGGTTTCGCCATGTTGGCCAGGCTGGTCTCGAACTCCTGACCTCAGGTGATGTGCCTGCCTCAGTCTCCCAAAGTGCTGGGATCACAGGCATGAGCTGCTGTGCCCCATTGGTTATATTCCTTTCTAACTAGTTCATGTCTCATATGTATGTTTTATATAGTTAGAATGATAAAATAATTAAGTTTCTATTTTGCTTATTTCACTTAATGAATTAAACATTCTCCCATGTTGATTCCTTGGATTCCTAATGATCATTTTACTAGCTGTATAACATTCTGCAAGTTGTTGAACCATTGATTTTAATTATATACTGTATAATAGCATTTAGAGTGTATGTCCTTAATCCTTAGTTTTTGTGTAGACAATTCAGGAGCATTGAACATTCTTTTTGTTTTTAACTGTAAACCGCTGTACTAATTTGAGAGTGACATTTTTCCCTTGTCTTTTATACTCTTAAAGGTTCTTAAACGAGATTGGAGTCTGTCTTTGAGAGGTTAAGCATTAGCAAAATATATTTTCATGTTTTGTGGAAAATCTCAAGCCTATGCAGAGAGAAAAGTACAGTGCACTCATATGAACATCATTCAGCTGCAGTAATCATAAATTCATGACTATTCTTGTTTCATTTGACCTCTTTTACCCCTACCCTTTTGGCAATAATCCCAAGCATTTTATCAAGGGAAATGTATTGTTTGTCTTCTAATACCAGTCTTACGAATATGACTGGAAATGACAGTAGGACTGATAATTATTTTCACTTCTACGCTTTGCAAACACGAACACTAGATATGAATTCAGTTAGTAGGATTAATTGACTGGTCATCAGTCTCTCCTTCCCATGTACTTTATTTTTTTGAAATGGAGTTTCACTCTTGTTGCCCAGGCTGGAATGCAATGGCGTGATCTTGGCTCACTGCAACCTCCGCCTCCTGGGTACAAGCGATTCTCCTGCCTCAGCCTCCTGAGTAGCTGAGATTACAGGCGCTTGCCACCACGCCCAGCTAATTTTTGTATTTTAGTAGGGACGGGATTTCACCATGTTGGTCAGGCTGGTCTCGAACTCCTGACCTCAGGTGATCCATCTGCCTCAGCCTCCCAAAGTGCTGAGATTACAGGCATGAGTCACCGCACCCGGCCCTTCCCATGTACTTTAAATATTTATCTCTATGGTTGACTTCTGCTCTGAAGCATGTACTTTCCTCTCTTAGCTGCATAATTTAGCCAATAGCAGAAACTAGCCTGGAACTGTGGTGACTGGCCCTTTTTCAGTATTTTGTAGATGACCCCACTGACTTTATGGAGGTGGATGGAGACTACGAAGTGCCAGATGCCACAATGCCTGGTGTTCCTCAGCAGTACCAGGAAATTAATGACATGGAATACATCTCTCTAATAAGTTACTGCTTATAGCTAGGATACGTTTGTTTCCAAAACTGTTACCAGACCAGCGTTTCCCAATTTATCTTCTTCCAACTTCTCACCTTATTAACCATCTCAAGTTTGGCCTTCCTCACCTATGAAACTCACAGAAACTATAATAAATTCAGGCTAATTCAACTGCTAAATTCAACTGTTCAGCCACATGGGATCACCAGTCCCCTAGATTCAATGAATCCTAATGTTACGTCCTTGGGGATTAAATGCATTTTTGTGTACAAGGGGAGAAAAGTTCTGAAGCTTTACAGGTAATGTGAATTGAGACAATAGCTTTTAAAAAGAACATTTGTTTGATTATGAAAAATAAGTACTTCATATTCTTGCCTTGCTGGCCTAATTCTCAGTTGTTTTATGTTGAAAATCATGCATTTTCAGTTTTCAGTAGCTACTTTGGTGATACATATTGGTCTGGATTAGCACCCTGGTGAGTGTGCCAGCAAGAGTGAGTAGGTAAATGGTTTCTTTTTGTTCTTTACAAGCCTGCTACATTACTTCAGTTCTGTGCTAAAAGTCAGCAGAAAACTAGGTCAAGGAATCACTTAAAGATTAATAATGGGTACCTCTGTAAAATGACCTTACACAGAATAAAAGTCTAGGCCTTATGAGTTTATGTGAGGTAAAAAGTTAATGTGATGCTGAGAAGTTATGTTAAAAGTATACTTTTATGTAAGATTTTTGCTCCCCTCCATGTTTACATAGCATTTCCTTACTATCCCATATTGGTTTATGAGAAAAATCTCCCTAAATTGAAGATTCTTCACATCTTTCATTTGGTCTCTTTTTTTGGAGACAGGATCTCACTCTGTCGCCCGGGTTGGAGAGCAGTGGTGCAATCATGGCTCACCTTTCATAGATTAGCACTAGGAGAATGGTTTTAGGAAAAGCCTGGCTTTTGGAGTGAAGCAGCTTTAATTGGTATTTAGTATTAGAGTATAGTAGAGAAGCAGCTCTGATGGTTTCCAGACCTCTTTTTACTTCTTAAATTATTGAGGTACCCCCAAGAGGGTTTGTTTATGTGGGTTATGTCTGTTTATACCATATTAGAAAATAAAACTGAGAAATCTTTAAAATGCTCATAAATTCATTTAAAAGTAACAACAAACCAATTATATAGTAGCATAAATAACATTTTTTGATGAAAAATATTTTTCCTCATCCAAAGATAGTTTTAGTGTTAACATTTTTGCAAATCTCTTTAATATTTGGCTTAATAGATGACAGGTAAATTCTCATATCTACTTCGGCATTCAGTCCGTTACAATGTTTTCTTTGAAATATATAAAGAAAATGCAGCCTCAGGCAGATACGTGGTTAGAAAAGTAGTTAAAAAAAGGAAGAGTATTTTAAGTTTTCCCAGATAATTTATATTTTTCTTTAATACCAAACCAAAACTTGACAAGTGATGTGTTTTTTTGTTTTTGACACAAGGTCTTGCTCTATTGCCCAGGCTTGACCGTAGTGGCGCAATCACAGCTCACTGTAGCCGCTACAGTGCACCTCAGGTGCAGGTGATCCTCCCACCTCAGCCTCTTAAGTATCTGGGACTACAGGCATGCGCCACTGTGCCCATCTAGTTTCTCTATTTTTTGTAGAGATGGTGTCTCACCATGTTGCCCAGGCTGGGCTTGAACTCCTGGGCTCAAGCGATCTGCCCACTGTAGCCCCCCAAAGTGCTGAGATTACAGGCATGAGCCGTGTACCTGGCCAGTGGTGGTTCTTTAAAGGTTAGTTGCAGTGTAGAATCTGAAACCATATCAGTGAACTTTTTGTATTATATTACATTAAAACCATTAGTCTGTCTTGTACTTTGAGTGAATCTTTTATCCACATATGATTTTGTAACATGCATTGGTCATTAGGAAAATAATGGGTTCGTTGATTGAGGCAGATCTTCAAAAGTTGACATTTTATTATAGTGTGTGTTTTTTTTTTTTTTTTAAATCACACTTGGTAATACCTTCACTTTAAAGATAAAAGTTGTAAGTACTAGGAAGCTATAAAGTTCATGGTGGGAGATGAGAGGTTTTCCAAAATCTAATCTTTGCACAAAAGCTTTATTATTGACAACTAATACTATCTTTTGTTGTTACTGTTTGTTTTTTTCCTAATAGTGTCTTTTGGAAAAAAGACCTGCCAAATGTCCAAGTCTGCATTACCATAGTTTTTCCATCAGTTGTTCTTCCAATTAAGAATGATACTCAATGAAAAAAAATGGCTAGTTCATCTCTTAATTGAAGCATTTGCACAAGTGCTTTACTTTGTGACACCGTAATATTGCACCATACATCAGAGGTGTTTTACTTGTATTTCCTCTGTAAAAAAGACTTCTACTTAAGGGTCAGGATTTAATAAATAGAATTTATAATATTTCCTTGCTTTATCAAGGTCATTCTTATGAAATTGGCACCACTGTCTCAATTGTGCTAAGGTACCAGCAGTTTTACCTACCAGGTTTTTTTGCACTATTAGTATAGATGTCAATACAGTGAAGAAAGGCAATAATACCGTAATATTATTGGGAAGGTTTTGACCTCGCAGGGCCCCTGTAAGCATCTCAGAGTCTGTGGACTTCATTTTGAGAATCATGCTAGTGTAGAGTATTACCAGTTTATGATTATGGTTGCTGTTAGTAAAACCTTAAGTGTTGTTTATAGATAAGAAGAAAAACTCTTTTTGGGGGAAGACTTACAAAATTATTGGAATTGTGTTAAGTAGTGTACACAGAAGCAACCAGTAACCACTGGTTATAATTCTTAATGCTGTCAGTTGAACATGATGTGGCTTTTGCTCTTTTAAAAATTGCTGTGTGGGGCCAGTCTTGGTGGCTCACACCTGTAATCCCAGAACTTTGGGAGGCTAAGGTGGGAGGATTACTTGAGCCCAGGAGTTTGAAACCAACCTGGACAACATAACGAGACCTTGTCTCTACTGAAAATAAAAAAAATTAGCCTGGCATGGTGGTGGGCGCCTGTGGTCCCAGCTACCTGGGAGGCTGAGGCTGGAGGATCACTTGAGCCCCGGAGTTGGAGGTTACAATTAGCTGTGATTGTGCTGCTGCACTCCAACATGGGTGACAGAGCAAAACCCTGACTTAAAAAAGAAAAGTGCTGTGTAAACAGATTCTATTATAATTTAGTCAGGCTTTGTGATAGATGACATTTCTCTCATGTCTTCCTATACCATAAAAATTCATAATGCAAAATATTACTTTTTAATACAAATTGTAATTTACATGTCATCTAGATGAGAATTTATTGCTTCCTCTTTTGAAATTGTCTTAACAGAAATCTATTTTGTAATATAAGGCAGAGTAAATGAAGGATAGTCTTTCATATATTTTCAACTTGGGAAATTCAGTTCTTAAGCTTACTTTTTCTTAGAAATTGTTTTCAAGCTTTCTATTATGAAAATTTCACATATAACCAGAGTAGACACAATGGTAGAGATAATGAACTCTCACCCAGTTTCATGAATTACTAATTCATAGATAGTCCTGTTTCACTTATGTCCCGCTTCTTCCTTACTCTTGCCCCAGTTATTTTGAAGCAAATTTCAAATGTCACCTTTCATTTTTAAATATTTCAGTATGTATCTCTCAAATAATTTAAGATCGTAACTTAAAGAGAAAAAAGCATTATATCTTGGTTTCTCTTAAAAGTAGTGTGGGGCTGGGCACAGTGGCTCATGTCTGTTATCGCAGCACTTTGGGAGGCTGAGGCAGCTGGATCACCTGAGGCCAGGAGTTGGAGACCAGCCTGACCAACATGGCAAAACCCCGTCTCTACAAAAATAGTAGCCAGGCGTTATGGCACGCACCTGTAGTCCCAGCTACTCAGGAGGCTGAGGCAGGAGAATCGCCTGAACCCAGGAGGCAGAGGTTGCGGCGAGCCAAGATTACACCACCGCACTACCTGTGCACTACACTACCAGTGCACCACTGCCTGGGTGATAGTGAGATTCTGTCTCAAAAAAAGAAAAAAAAGTATTAAGAAGCTGTTAGTGCCTAATAGAAATATTCTAACCTCTTTGACATTTTTTTTGCATCAATGTGTTTTCAGACTAGATGTAACTAATGTATTGGATAGAAAAACTTTTTAAGATCAATATTGTTTCCTTGAGCTTTTCTGCCTGTTCACCTTGGTCTTTGTACTTTCATTGTGATTATGCTAGCAGATATGGCAGAAAAACCAAATATGAATGATTAGAAGCTTTGAAATTATTTTAAGGTTTTGGACTTTTCCAGGATGAAGAGACTCGGCACAGCCTTGAGTGCATCCAGGCCAATCAGATCTTTCCCAGGAAGCAGCTGATCCGGGAGGATGAGAATCTTCAGGTAATTATAGGCCACTTTTAAATGTAAAATATTTATTTAGCATTAACTGTATAGCAGAGTTAATGGATTTAAGTGTAACGTACTATATTATATATATATATAACATACATGTAGTAGAAATGCAAGCTGGAAAACATCTCATTTTAGCAAGACTTATTTCCTGAGAATCCACTGTTTAAGATGATCTTCTCTGTATCATTCCTTTAGTAGTTCAGAATTTGAATAACTAGATATATTTGAATTAGGTGGGTATAAACCCATCCTCTTTAGCTTCCTTATCTACTTATGTGCTGTGTTTTCAACTTCAGTGGCAGAGGATTTACCATCCATTCAGCCAACTGATGTTTGAAGCTTTTTTTTTTTTAACTGCTTCAGAACTCTGAAGGGTTTCTTTCATTTCGAAGGTTCCTTTCCTTGAACTTCATGGAGAGAGCACAGAGTTTGTGGGCCGTGCCGAGGATGCCATCATTGCCCTTTCCAATTACAGACTTCACATCAAGTTCAAGGAGTCTCTTGTTAATGTAAGTGATTACCAGCTGTTCTCCCTCTAAGGTAAATGGAGAAAGTAAGTCAAAAAACTTAATGCTCTCAAAGAGAGGAGAGGCATACAGAATTGGGAGAGAAAGCATTATGTGCTCTGCTTTTCTCACTTAATTTAGCACTCAAGGAACACTGGCTTGGCCAGGCGCGGTGGCTCACGCCTGTAATCCCAGCACTTTGGGAGGCCAAGGCAGGCAGATCACGAGGTCAGGAGATCGAGACCATCCTGGCTAACACGGTGAAACCCCATTTCTACTAAAAATACAAAAAATTAGCCGGGCGTGGTGGCAGGTGCCTGTAGTCCCAGCTACTCAGGAGGCTGAGTCAGGAGAATGGCATGAACCCGGGAGGTGGAGCTGGCAGTGAGCCAAGATCACGCCACTGCACTCCAGCCTGGGTGACCAGAGCAAGACTCCATCTCAAAAACAAACAAACAACAACAACAAAACACACTAGATCAGCAAGCAGCTCTTATGCTTGATTTAAAATGATGTGTGTAGTTGTCAGCTGAGGTGTCCATTGTTTAGTTTAACAGTGAATGATTTGCATTAGGTAATGCTGTATCATTAAGCTTTATAAAGGTATAAAGGCTGAATGGGCTTTTATTCTGCAATCTTTAGTAGTTACCAACTGCCTCAGTTGAGATAATTCCCTTGGCCTTAATGTCAAAAGATGAGATGCACTTTGAGCTCACTGCAGACTCTCATTACAGCATGAGGTTACTCTAATGACTCCTTGGTGGTATAAGTGTAGATGTTAAGTATAATGTTGATTTGCATAATGGACTATGTATTACTGAAGAAAAGGAAGCCTCTTGATTCTCAAGAGTACATTTACCCTTTTCAGTTATGAATGTCCTCTCAGTGAACTGGTTCTTCCAGTGCTCTGCTATCATTAGCCTTAAATGAAACGAATAAAGGCTTGAAAATTCATGTACTTACAGCAAATGCCTTCTTCCTTCTTTACTTGCCAGTGTTGTGGCTTTCTACACTCCACTTCCAGCACAGAGAAGTGTATTATGACACGTTAAAACAGCTCAGGACTGTAATTCCATGCAGACTGTGTTTTGGCTTCATTTTGGGATTCTTTGAAATCTTGTTCATTCGTTTTACTCAGCAATTAAAAAAAGACTCAGTGGCTGTCATTTTTTTTTTGGTAGTTGACATTTTTTACTTCTTATTATCATTCTTCTTTGTAGTTAAGCATTTATGTCCAGGAGCAGTTTTGGCCTGAATCCCTTCTGGCTTCTAGATTTGGGCCATGATTATAGCAGTTACATCAGTTTTCTGTCTATCAGCTAAAGATACACACCAGATTCATTAAGGAAAGAGGCAATGCTGTTCTTTCATACTATGTAGCACTCTGTTCAGAAGGGTCCACTTGGATTTGAGTAGTCGTGATGGGGAGGGGAAAGGGGGGAAACACCTATAAAATCCCAGCAACTGAGAATTCCCCACCAGCTACTGTGGAAGTAATGATAGTAGTGTTTAGTAGAACTGCCCAATTTAACTTTGTGTTCTTTCAGTGTTTGAATTGCTGGAATTAAATTATAATTAAATTGCATGTGAGAATGATAGTTTCATATCATTGCATTTTCTCATATCATCCTGTATTTATCAGTTTATTGGTTGATGGCCAAGTGTTTCAGAGACTATTTTAGAACTATTTGGGAATAAGGTCTGCTGGAAAGCAAGCAGGAAAGAAAGAAAGAAAGAAACTGATCATGTCATTCATCAGCTTAAAGCCCTTCAGTGTTTCTTCACTACTTCTATGATGAAGATCAGATTGTTTAGCATGACATGAAGCTGTCTGACAACGTGGCAGGGACCAAGGATCACAGCTTCCCTCCTTTCCCCATTATCACATTTTTACTTGTAAAAGCAGCCTCTTTGTACTATTCAGCCATACCTCACACCTCTGTGTTCTCTTTTCGGCCCAGGAACTTCTGTTCATCTGTCAAAATTCAGTTCAGGTGATAACTTCTCCTGTGAAGCCTTTCTTAGTCCCAGTTCCCTCTGTGACAGTTAACTACACTCTTTCTTTGCTTTGTCTTTATCTTGTACATTCTTTTATAACATTTACCAAATAGGTTGTAATTTTTGGTTAATTGTTTTTGTGTCTTCAAGATCCAGCATGTCTCCTGGTGCCACAATATTCAGTAAATATTAAATGAATTGAAGTTAATGTGGGTTTGAAGTGGGCATTAGAACCTTTTCCCCCTTTGGTGTTTAAAGCTCATTTTAAAACAGTACACTTCTGTGTGAATAGGCTGTGGCTTAATTGTCTCTAAGGATAGCTGTGTGAGTAGGTTGTTGACTGGAATTGTTGATCCCCCATTGTGATTGAGAGATAATGCTTAAGGAAACTTGCCACTGTTCTTTCTTTTGATCAATTTTCTTAATCTGAAAGTGTTTTTTTTCTGTTAGCATCATAACCCTCTAAGGCATAGAGCCTACATGTTACTTAAAAAGCCCAGGGTAGGCCGGGTGCAGTGATGCACGCCTGTAATCTCAGCACTTTGGGAGGCTGAGGCAGGCAGTTCACCTGAGGTTGTGAGTTCGAAACCAGCCTGGCCAAAATGGTGAAACCCCATCTCTACTAAAAATACAGAAATTAGCTGGGCATGGTGGCATGTGCTACTCAGGAAGCTGAGGTAGGAGAATCACTTGAACCCAGGAGGCGGAGGTTGCAATGAGCTGAGATCACGCCACTGCACTCCAGCCTGGATGACAGAGGGAGACTCTGTCAAAAAAAAAAAGGAAAAAAAAAAAAACACCCAAGGTAATGGCTTTGTACAGAAAAATGATGGTGTAAAAGTATTTTGGCATTGCAGTGACTTTAAAAATTTCAGATTGAGGCCGGGCGCGGTGGCTCACGCCTGTAATCCCAGCACTTTGGGAGGCCGAGGCAGGAGGATCACGAGGTCAGGAGAGCAAGACCATCCTGGCTAACACGGTGAAACCCCGTCTCTACCAAAAATACAAAAAATTAGCCGGACGTGGTGGCAGGCACCTGTAGTCCCAGCTACTCAGGAGGCTGAGTCAGGAGAATGGCGTGAACCCGGGAGGTGGAGCTTGCAGTGAGCCGAGATCGTGCCATTGCACTCCAGCCTGGGTGACAGAGCGAGACTCTGTCTCATTAAAAAAAAAAAAAAAAAAAAAAAAAAAAAATTTCAGATTGAGAGAGACTAGAACTCCTCCATAAAAATAAATTAATTTCATCACAGCTAGTGCTAAGAGATTCCTGAAACCTGAAACCTGGAGGTACTTAGGAAACAAGGATTCTTCCTGCATCGGGTCCTGGATGGAGATCAGACAGTTGGTAGTGGTGTTGCCCCTCCCTCTTTCCTTCCCTTAGCAAATAAGTATTTCAATAAAATATGTGTATTTCAATAAAATGTTAGATCAGGAGGCTCTCTTTAAATGTTATTTTATCTATATCAAACACATTTAAACCATCAAAGCCCAGACATACCAGCATATGTTGTGGCATGCCCCAGTTCATCATTTTGTATGCTTAAATCAAAATACTTAGCACTTCAGAAAATGATTTACCATCAAGTTTTAAATAGCTACCTGATATCATATATTCTCTTTTAATTTCACAGCACATTGAGTAAAATGTGTCTGTAGGTTTTGATACCGTAAACATCATTACTTTAATTCACACATTCACTGAATATCAAGTTCCAGTTCCTGTGGTAAAGAATCTCTGTAGTAGAGTTTATGTGTAGCATTTAAGGTATACATTGCTCCTATTCTGTGCTTTTCCCAAATTATTATATATTTACAGACATAGTTCTTTGAAGCTTAGATAAATTATAAACAAGTGTTCAAGTGGAATTCATGAACGTTTAAAAGTTTGTTTGTGTGTGTGTGTGTGTGTGTGTGTGTGTGTGTGTGTGTATGTGTTTGTAATTTAATAGACTGCTTCTCAATCTGCTGCTTCTAAAATCCCTGTAAGTAGTATGAAAATCCTAGGCGGTTGCTGCACCTGTGCTTGGAGCAAATTGGTTTTGAGTGTTAGATGCTCACCTTGCAAATCAGCAGAATGTTTCCCCTCTGCATGAGTCCTTTTCCTCTTACTGGACCAAATTCCAGTTGTATGCTACTAGGAGAACAATTTGTAGGGTAAGGAAAAAGCCCTGCAGTTTATACATAAGCAGATGGAATTGTGACCTTCAAAAAAATGTAGAACAAGTTTCTGTTAGAAATAATTTGTAAAATCAACACTAGTTTTTTTTTCTTTCACTTTGTTTTTTGGAGACGGAGTTTCACTCTGTTGTCCAGGCTGGAGTGCGTTAGCACAGTCTCGGCTCACTGCAGCCTTAGTCTCCTGGGCTCAAGTTATTCTCCCACCTCAGCCTCCCAAAGTGTTGGAACTACAGGCGTTAGCCACCACACCCTGCTGCGAAGGAGGTTATTGTTAACATTTAATGCACTTTGATCTAGCATTCATATAACAGTGGGAGCCTCTGAAAGCAGTGCTGGAGGCTTGTAAATTGTCAAAGGTGAACAATAGAGTTTGAATCTTAAACCAGTGACAGTCTTCTGCTGATTAGTGGGTTTTTGGTGGTTGTTTTTTGAAACAGGGTCTTGCTCTGTCGCCCAGGCTGGAGTGCACTGGCGCCATCATGGCCCACTGCAGCCTCAACTTCCTGCGCTTAGGTGATCCTCCCACCTCAGCCTTCTGAGTAGCTAGGTCTACAGACACATGCCACCGCGTTCAGTTAATTTAATTTTATTTTTTGTAGAGATGATGTCTGTGTTGCCCAGGTTGGTCTCAAAACTCCTGGGCTCAAGCAGTGCACCCACTTTGGCCTCCCAAAGTGCTGGGATTACAGATGTGAGCCACTGCACTCAATTTTTTATTTTATTTTATTTTTATTTTATTATATTTATTTTATTTTTATGTTATGTTATGTTATTGTAGTGACAGGGTTTCACCATGTTGCCCAGGCTGGTCTTGAACTCCTGGGCTCAAGCGATCCTCCTGCCTCAGCCTACCAAAGTGCTGGGTTTATAGATGTGAGTCGTCGTGCCCGGCCCTGATTAGTTTTTAAATGAAAAGATTTTTGTGCCCAGATATTCCACTTTATTACTGATTTTAGATTTAGACTCATTATTTTTACTCTTTTACTGCCATTTTAACTTCACGTGTACAAGATTAGTACTTCCCATTCAGGCTATAAAAAGGGTGTTTGTTTTTAAAAAGGTAGGAATTATCCCACTCTAGATTCTGGTGTTTAAAAATAATGCACATGTATGCACACACACCCAGAATGAAATGAGGTAAATATAGTAGGGTATGATGGCATCAGTTCCCTCTGGAATGTGACAGTACTGTGGACATAACCTGTGCATGTCTGTATGTCTGTTAAATTTTTAAACTGCTGCTCTTCTGCTTTTTTTGGATTGATGCTCTTCAGGGTGTTAGTGTCTATAATGTAACTTGGCTTTTTGAGGAATTGGTTGTAGCACTGAATGTGTTTGATGCATTGTTTGAGCATGAGTTTGGTGAAATTTATATTAGGAAAAGCATTGTAAGGTGAGATTGCGTTACCTGGCAGGTGGAGAGATAGAGGAGAGAGGAGCAAAAAGAAAATGAGTTGCTACAAGACATTGAATCAGTACGTTTGAGAGGATTTGAAAGTGAGTTTATCTTGCTACTCTTTTACAAAAGGAATTGCATCTGAGGAGTTTTGATTTAAACTCTGTTTTCCTCTTGAAGATCCCTGGTGGAGAAGCTACTTATTTGTGAAAGAAAAACTAAAGTAGAGCTCATATGGAAGAGAAGCCCACGTGTAGGGGCAGAAAGAAAGACACACCGTGTATGGTGGAAGGAGCCCAGGCTGGAGGACAGACATGGATCCTGGTCCTGACTTTACTACTATATTAGCTTATAGTGTAGTAGTTTAACCTTCCTGGGCTGTAAAGTGGACTGGCTCTTGAATCTGTAATTTGCTTTTGAGGTTGAATATAGGGTATCTCTAGTTATAGAAATGTTAAGAGATTGTTTTCATATGTGAGGAAATTTGAACCTAAAGCAGTGTAGTGGGCCTTAAGAAAATAGAGAAACAGTATGTTTTGGATGGAGGTATGAACAGGAAAAGAAGGTCAATTCTGCCTTTTAGAAAAGGCAATCTGGACTGGGTGCAGTGGCTCACACCTGTAATTCCAGCACTTTGGGAGGCCTAGGCGGGTGGATCACCTGAGGTCAGGGGTTCGATACCAACCTGGACAAATGGCAAAACCCCATCTCTACTAAAAATACAAAAATTAGCTGGGCGTGGTGGCTGGGATCACAGGTGCCTGCTACTC
Source organism: Homo sapiens (assembly GCF_000001405.40). Lineage (NCBI taxonomy): Eukaryota > Metazoa > Chordata > Mammalia > Primates > Hominidae > Homo > Homo sapiens. The sequence goes on from NC_000022.11 coordinate 29,985,392, forward strand.
AGGAAGCTGAGGCAGGGAGAATAGCTTGAACCTGGGAGGTGGAGGTTGCAGTGAACCAAGATCGCGCCATTGCACTCCAGCCTGGGCAACAGAACGAGACTCCATCTCAAAAGAAAGAAAGAAAGAAAGAAAAGGCAGTCTGTGCAGGAAGTGCTGAAGGGAAACACTGCAGTAGAAAGGAGAAGAAAAGGGAGATATTTGTTATAAAAATCAGGTGTTTCTCTTTTGTATGTCCCTATTCTTGCTGCGTATTAAGCTTTCCTGCATGTGACAGTCTGCATGAATATTAAAATCTGCTGTTCTCCGTATCTGTGACTTGTAATACACATGGTTGATTTTGGTGACTTGCTGGTGTCTGCAATCTGATTTCAATGCATAGAACCAACATTCTAATTCTTTTTTCTTCAATTTAAGATGTTAAAATATAGAAAAAAATATGTATATATTGCCTGAATTTTAGGTAGCAAATGTTTTGCATGGTCTGAGATAATTTTATGATATTAAATTTGGGCACGGGCCATTGGGCTCTGGTTTAGTAATAAGGATGTAAAACTTACCTGTTCTTTGTAGCAAAGTAGCAAAGGCTAATCCATTTCCCCCAGCAGCTGCTAAGAGCATTAGCTGGTTTTCATGTCTTCTGTCCATAAAGAAAGTCAGTTGCAGGGGACTTGGGATGCAGGTGACTGCTGCAAGAGCAGCCTCTTCTTGTGGATTTGTAAAGCTCACTCTAATCCTATCCCAGACTCTTCCCAGGCCCCATGACTGAGATTTCCTTAGTTGTGACCAAGGTTCAGAAAGCAGAGGCTGATGGCACATGGGAAGGCTGGAGGCTTGCCCAATGAAGCCAGCAAAATTTTAATTGGTAACATTTTAGAAAATTGAGATTAGAACTCACGGCTCTTAATTGCCAGTCTGGCAGCCACATTTTGGGGGGATATAGTGAGTAAGGTAGTTAGCAGGAGTATATACAAAATAAAAAGCAGTAAGTGTCTGTTACAGGCTACCCAGAGAACTGGCCTGAGAACAAAGCAAAGTTATCTTCTAATCTGTCTTCTTAATCTCAATATTTCTTCTTTATAGTTTTATCTCTGATAAATTGTAGGTTTGTTTGTTTTTTTTTTTCCTTCTTAGATGCACAGGTCTCAGAAGAATTCTTAGTTGCATCAGTTGCAGTTTCTCACAGCACCTTGGGGTTAAGGACGTAAATAAAAACAGAAGGCCAAAAGCTCCTTTTGTTCTCAGAACACAGGCAAGATTTTTCTTTTTTCTTTTCTTTTTTTTTTGTTTTTGAGATGGAGTTTTGCTCTTGTTGCCCAGGCTGGTGTGCAATGACACGATCTCAGCTTACCGCAGTCTCTGCCTCTGGGATTCAAGCGATTCTCCCGCCTCAGCCTCTGGAGTAGCTGGGATTACAGACATGCACCAAAATTACAGGCATGCACCAAATACAGGCATGCACCAAATACAGGCATGCACCAAAATACAGGCATGCACCAAAATTATCCGCACCTGGATAATTTTGTATTTTTAGTAGAGATGGGGTTTCTCCATGTTGGTCAGGCTGGTCTCAAACTCCTGACCTCAGGTGATCCGCCCACCTCGGCCTCCCAAAATGTTGGCATTACAGGCGTGAGCCACCGTATCCGGCCAAGATTTCTTAGTCTTTTTCTGACCCCCAGTCCTATTACATTTGTAAGGGAATTTTTATAGACTGTAGACTTAAAAGCAAGAAGACTTTAGTCCTAAGGTAGAAACTCCCAGTCATTTATCTGAGTAATATTATTTTGCTTTCTTCTCTTCTTTAACCCCTGCTCCAGTTTCTGTTTCTTTGTCCAGCACTGGGCTTCTTTTTGATCCCTGCATCCTCATTCTGAGAGTTCTGTGCTGACTGGCAGCTCTGTGGTGGGGCAGAGTTTGCAGGAAGCTTGTTCCTGAAACTGGCTCAGCTAACACGAGGGCCAGCCTGTGCAGACAGTACTCTTGTTCCTGTCTGCATTGGAGGAGACTGTCCTCCTCTTTGCATACTAAACACAAGTTGTTGGAATGCTATTTGCAACTCCCAGAGCCACATTTTGGCTAGACTTGATACACTGTAAGAGGCAAATGGCCCACTCCTTTTTCAAGGAGTAAAAGTATTCACTATTATTTTACCAGGTTTGCCTTGAAAGCCTAGAAATTGCTTTTTGAAGCCAAGGGTTGAATTAGGATGATTTAAGGGATAGGAGGAGGATCCTCATATTATCCTGAAGATTTGGCACCCTGTCTAGATGCTTTTGCTTCTATCTGTCTCCCTTCTCTCTATCTGCTGTTGTACATAATCCTGTGTCCAGTAGAGTCTGTAGACCAGATTGGCAAGGGGGAACCATTCCAGCTTGTTCAAACCTCAAGCCCCATTTGGCAAACGGGGCTTCTAACTGATTTTTTGAAGCAAATCTGACATAGTTATTATAGCTTTAGCATCCTTGATCACTGTATGGCCTTCTCCCTCCTTTTTGATACTTTTGGGTCTATTCTACTTAGTAGAGAGCCTGGCCAGCAGCTATTGCCCCATTGTCTTTTCTGTGCAATCCACAGTCAGCTTAGAACTCTAGTCTTTTTCAGGAGCCTCATTGGCTGACACTAAGCCATAAGCCCACTCTGTCATTTGGGGCAAACAATAGTCTCCCACTGGCATTCTGATCTGTAGTTCTTTTCTATAAGCAAGAAAAGATTACTGTTCTGGCTCCCTTCAGCTTCTATGTCATTGCATCATTGCAAATCATAGTCAGTTATAGCATCTAAAAGTAGTACTCTGATCTTGTGAATTCGGTGCCTGAGAGATATATTCTCCCCTTCTTCCAAAGGTGGTGCCACCTCTTTGTTGCCTTCATGCTATGACATGACTTGAGACCACTGATTTAGAGATAAAGGGAAGTCCTAATTCACTTTGTAGTAAATCACTTGAGTACTGTTGATCCAGATAAGTTTGCAGTTCTATTTTTGTTGCTTTCCCTTATAGATCTTTTTAATTAGTCTTGTTGGACACATTGAAGAACTCCAGGGTCAATGCCTTTTTGACTAAGAGGACTTCATTTTTTTAAAATTGCAGGTTCCATTACAGCTTATAGAAAGTGTTGAATGCCGAGATATATTTCAGCTTCATTTGACTTGCAAAGACTGCAAAGTTATCAGGTATGTGGTATGGTATGTTTGTGTTGCTGTTTAGTGTGGAAAATATTTTTTAAAGAATGGGTCCATTATTTGGTAACTTAGTAAAATACCTTTTGATGATTAGCCTCATTAGGAATATTTTCTGAGTAGTTTGTGCCTGAAATATTTTATCTGTAGGATGTATACTTTGCTATGTTGAAAGATGTTTTTTTTTTTTAATTTGGAAATAATTTTAAATTTACAAAAGGGCAAAAATAAAAATACTAAAAAGAACATCAGTACACCATTCACCCAGATTCACTTGTTAACATTTTACCATTTGCTTTATTATTTGCAGAGGCGTGTGTGTATGTGTGTGTGTGTTTCTTTTCCTGAACAGATTGAGAGTAAGTTACGTAATCATGGCTCTTAACCCCAAAATACTTTAGTGTGCTTTCCTAAGAATAGGGATATTTTCTTACATAACCATAACATTATCAATTTTCAATTTTACATTGATAATACTTACATCCAGTCTACTATACATGTTCCAATTTTGTCAGTTCACCTAATGACCTATTGATACTTTTTTATAGCATTCTCCCTCACCTCCATCTCATTCAGTACAGGATCCAGTCTAGGTCATATATTGCATTTAGCTGCCATGACTCTGTAGCCTTCTTTAATCTGGAACATTTTCTTTTTGTTTTTGTTTGTTTGATTTTTGAGACAGAGTCTTGCTCTGTTGCCCAGGCTGGAGTGCAGTAGCACGATCTCAGCGCACTGCAACTTCTGCCTCCTGGGTTCAAGCGATTCTCCTGCCTCAGCCTCCTGAGTAGCTGGGGTTACAGGTGTGTGCCACCACACCCGGCTAATTTTTTGTATTTTTAGTAGAGATGGGGTTTCACCATGTTGGTCAGGCTGGTCTTGAACTCTGACCTCGTGATCTGCCCGTCTCGGCTTCCCAAAGTGCTGGGATTACAGGCATGAACCACCATACCCGGCCAATCTGGAACATTTTCTACAGCCTTATTTTCTTTTATGACATTCACATTTTGCAGAATACAATCTTTTGTTTTAATGGAATACTTCTCATGTTGTGTTTGTCCAGTATTTCCTCAATTAAATTGAGGTTCTATTTTCTCAACTGGAATACTGTATATATGATGTCACATCCTTTTCAGGGTATTGTATTACATCTGGAAGTACAGTGTCCACATGTCCTTCATTGGTGATGTTAATTTTGATTATTCCAGTCGAGATGTCACCTGGCTTCTGTATAATTTCTGCGTTTTCTCTCTTGCAACTAAAAACAGTCTGGGGGAGGCACTTTGAAACAATGCAAATGTCCCTGCTTCTCATAAAAATTTCTCCATAAGTTTAGCATTCATTGATGATTTGTATCTGCGCTTAACTATAATGGTTGCAGGCTGGGTGTGGTGGCTCACGCCTGTAATCCTAGCACTTTGGCAGGCCGAGGTGGGGGTGGATCACTTGAGGTCAGGAGTTTGAGACCAGCCTGGCCAACATGGCAAATCCCCATCTCTACTAAAAATACGAAAATTAGCTGGGTGTGGTGGTGCACGCCTGTAGTCCCAGCTACTTGGGAGTCTGAGGCGGAAGAATTGCTTGAGCCTGGGAGGCAAGAGGTTGCAGTGAGCTGAGATCACGCCACTGTACTCCAGCCTGGGTGACAGAACAAGACTCCATCTGAAAAACCAAAAACCAACAACGATGCCTGAAATGCATTTTTAAATTTAATAGCTCTAGAGGTCTTAAATTCCACAAGTTTTTACTGCATTCCTCTGACCTCTTCTGGGGTGTCAGTAAATATTATGTGTTGGCATACTGATGAGCCACCATGATTGGGATGAGAGAGAGGTTTAAGTGACCCCTTGGTTTTAAGATAGATATTTATATTGCTTTTTAGTCAGTGAGATTTGGCTTATTTTTGATAGATACTGGCTACAACTCACAGTTTAAGAAGGTAGTTGCTTATTAATTAGTCAGTTTTTAACATTGCATTCAAAAAGGCCAAATATTTAAACAAATCTTTATTTTTATTTATTTATTTTCTTGAGACAGAGCCTCACTCTGTTGCCCAGGCTGGAGTGCAGTGGTGTGATCTTGGCTCACTGCAACCCGTACCTCCCTGTTTCAAGTGATTCTCGTGCCTCAGCCTTCTGAGAAGCTGGGATTACAGGTGCACGCCACCACACCTGGCTAATATTTTTGTATGTTTATCAGAGACGGGAGTTTTGCCATGTTGGCCAGGCTGGTCTTGAACTCCTGACCTCCAGTGATCTGCCCGTCTTGGCCTCCCAAAGTGCTGGGATTACAGGCATGAGCCACTGCACTCAGCCTAAACATATCTTTAATAAATTAGTTTTCACTAATTATTTTAACTTCTTAGTTGTATATACTGAAAATCGCAGTTGACAATAGAATTGTTTTGTTCTCTACATGGTCATAGCTGAAAGTTTCAGTGCAATCTGTCTTTTGGATCTGATTTGTCCTAATAGCTAAATATTGAAATTACTACCTAACTGGCTAAAAATAATGCTGTTTTTTTTTAAACTTGATCTAATATGTTACTACAAAACAAAGATTTTTCTAAACATATTTTTTATGAGGGACAACCATAAAACTTCGATGGAAGAAGTAGAATGAAACTCCACTCATGAAAGAGAATAGCTGCCATTTTTCTGTAATAATTGTCATTAATCTTAGAAGAGATTTCATTAGTCTAAAAAAATAGGTTTTCCAATGGTCAGCTTCCTCCTTTTGGACATTTTGTTCCATTGGCTAACATTTGTTTTTCTTATAAGTGATAATGAGCATGCGAATGACTGACTGCCTCAGATGCTTTCTTGGTTGTAGTTCCCACTTCACTACGAGTGGGCATTCTTGAAATAATGGCTTTTCTTACATTTCATTTCAACTGTCTTCTGATTACATCCATACTTGTTTGGCTTTACAAAAGGTGTCAGTTTTCAACCTTTGAGCAGTGTCAAGAGTGGCTGAAGAGACTGAACAACGCAATCCGACCACCTGCTAAAATAGAAGATCTCTTCTCATTTGCATACCATGCTTGGTGCATGGAGGTCTATGCCAGTGAAAAAGAGCAACATGGAGACCTGTGCAGACCAGGTACGCCTTTCTGAAATGTGCAAATGGCCAGGGGCTTTATCAAGCTACTGATGGAGGTACTTTTAACATGAAATGGGACACCTAAGCATTCATATATCAATCAGTGTATATTTTAAGGAGCACCCAGCAAGTGCGCAGCATTCTTTTAAGCTTAATAGAACATCTTTTCTGCCTTCCGGGGAAGGGAAGAACACTAGAAGGCATCACAATCTATTGGGCCTAAAAACAGCTCAACTATAATAAGGTTTTATGAATAGTATGGAAGCCTGATAGAAAGGAGCCATGAGTTTTGTATACATGTGTGGGAAGACTTCACATTTAAAGTGGCTTTTGAATCAGCTTTGAAAGTTGAATAGGAGTTAATTGGTGAGAGGCCAGGTTCCTATCAAGAACAAATAGATAGTGGGGTTTGTTTTTTGTTTTTTTTGAGACGGAGTTTCGCTCTTGTTGCCCAGGCTGGAGTGCAATGGCTCAATCTCGGACCACTGCAACCTCCGCCTCTTGGGTTCAAGCAATTCCCCTGCCTCAGCCTCCTGTGTAGCTGGGATTACAGGCATGCGCCACCATGCCCGGCTAATTTTTTATTTTTAGTAGAGACGGGGTTTCTCCATGTTGGTCAGGCTGGTCTCAGGTGATACGCCCGCCTTGGCCACCCGGAGTGCTTGGATTTATAGGCGTGAGCCACAGCTCCTGGCCTAGATTATAGGTTTTAACATGTGACCCCCTCCCCCCCAAAAAAACCAAAAAGAGATGCTGAGCCTGTTCTGGAACCCAGGCTTCCTGACTCCTCTATAGTCTTTGTCCCCCTCACTGTCATTCTCCGTCAGAAATGGCTTTGACCATGTTATTTCTCTGCATGTAGTTTCTTGTAAACTTTATGTGGTCATAAAACTTTGCTGGTCCAACACTGACTTTTAGTGTGTCAGGTTTCAAAGTGAAGTCTTAAATTTCTGTGCAGTGAAAAGTTGTAAGCCTCCTTCAAGTAAAGTTTACTCTTGGGACTTTTTTCTAGAAACCTGAAATTTTAATCCTGAATCTTCAATCTTATAAGTCTGCCCTGGGTCATTTTAAACATTTGAGGCTAATCTTGCTATGCTTTTGTTACTTTGTTCTCTGGCCCCATGACTAATTGAAGCTTTTGGTTCACATTCTTGTTCTATTAAAATGCTTGTAGCATTAGCATTATCTTATGTTTAACAATGCTTTGATAAATACTTTTGTTTGATCCTCATGACCTTGTCAAACAGGCAAGATAGGTTGGTGTCTGTTTTGGGAGCCAAAGAAATGGAGGCTCAGAGGTAAAAAGCCTGTTGTCAAGTCCCAGTGCTAGTCACTGACGACAGAACTAGGACTTAAAACCAGTTCTCAGTTATTCAGACCTGACCATGGTGGATGCTGTGGATACAGAGTTTGAAAAACAAAAGCACCTGCCCTCTTGGAGCCTCAGGGAAAGCCTCAGAATCCCAGCTTCTCACAGGCGTGTCCAGGCTAGCAGAATCCTGTCACCTACGAGAGACCACACCAACCTTGGAAGTTTATGAGAATGTGCTTAAACTGTCTCTCACTTCACTCCGATTGTTACATCTATTTTTTTTCTTTATTGAAATGCCATCACATTTTAAATACATTTTTTCATTTTTTATGGCTCTTTTCAAATTTGGGGGTTTTTCTTAAAGAGAAAGTTTACAAACAGTGATGTGTACAAATCTTACATGTACAGTTTCTGAGTTTTTAACCATTGCATCTTCTTTATTAAATTTTTAGTTTCTACCATCTCCTAGGATAATGAACTTAATGAGTGCATCCTACTGCATTATGTTATATAAGAACTTTAATTTGTTTAAGACCCCTGACTCCAAGACCCCTGACTCCAAGAGGTATTCCCTAATTTTGGGTTGCCAGCATTTACTCAGCAAGATTTGCTTTCTCCTATCCTGTTCTCTCACAACCACAGACTGAAAAGTCCTTATCTTTTTAGGAGAGCTTTTTTAGTCCCTTGATAATTTGAGTTTCTTTTAGATTTCAGCAAACTCTTAGGATATTCCTGAGAGGTACCTCAGTCTAGTCTTTTAATTATGGGTGGCTCTGCCCTGAGGTGGGATGACTTTGGTCCCCAGACCCTTCCCCTTCCTGATGATATCTGGTATTCTTTGGCCATCAGGACATAAAGATATCTACAGTGTTCTCTGTCTTTTCGTAGGTTTGTGATGCAAGGGCATGTGAGGGGTAAAGTACTGACTTAGGAATTAGGAAACCTGAATTTAAATGCGTATTCTACGATTTAGTTGAAAAAAAGAACACTGGGCAAAGAATTTATGCTCTCTGTGCTTTAGTTTCCTTTGTGCTTTAAAGTGGGACATTCATGCTCTTCCTGCCCAGGCTGATCCAGGTATCCTGAAGATCAAATCTGTTAATGCTGCAGAGTTCAATTCAGTAAATGTTTAAGTGCCCCCTATGTGCCATGCTTATGAAAACACTTTGGAAATTATGCAACTACAAGGTAATGCAATCATAACTGTTTGGCTAGAGATTATGAGTAAGGGTTGCATTTTGTTTCTTCCCAGTATACACAGTCCACATTGATGTTAACCTGCCACCACTCAGCATGGAATCTTGTATTTCAGTGACTTGGTTGAATGTATGTGTATGTATGGCTTTTGCCTTTTATGTATATTCGCTGTGGAGTACAAAGGAAAAACTTGGTTTTAATTAAAAACAAACCAAAAAAAAAAAAAAAAAAACACCTCGAGGACATCCAGTCAACCTGTTTCTTTTGTCATTACCTCATGTTGTTGAGCAGTGGCGGTGTATATAGCATTACTCATCAAATATTAGCATACCAGACAACCACATACTTATAAGTCATCTTTAGGATGAGACAACACTTGGGATATTTCAAAGTCATGCCTTTTTATAATCTGCCCCAGTACATGATATCACAAGTGTAGACTCTGAGGGGTGGAAGTTAGTTTAATCTTATAGCAGTTAATAAAGCCTTTTATGGAGTCTTCTCTACCTAGCCTGCTAGAAGTAGAATGTATCAGAGAGGAGAGAAATGAGAAAATTACATAATTGTCTTAGTATTCATATAAATCTTAGTTTCTGGCTGTTGAACCGGTCATAGTTAAGCCGGCTGTACTGTGGTCACAGCTCTAAGGCTTAATCAGCTTTGGAAGAAGTTTCAACATTGCTGTTGGAGTTTACCTGTGAAACCTGCAGAAGCCTTTGCCAAATTCTTGACCCTTCTCTTAGCCCCTCAAACTCTAAAAAAGTGGACTGAAAGCTAAAAGCTTCTCTCCCATGTCCTTAACTTCCTGCTCCTCATTGCAATTGACTTGTTGGTGATGGCTCTGTACTAGAGTGTTAATCTGGAGGCCTGACAGATGACTGGGCAGCTTAGCTGCCAGTTTAGTAGCATCAGGCCTACCTCTCTAACCTCTCTCATGTGAAATGTCCCTTAAGCCCATCTTGTTTATCCACGACTAGCATATGACTCTGGGTCTTAACACTGCTGTGAAGCTGCCTATTTATCTGTCTTCCGGGTTTGAATGCAGTCCAGGAAGTTGCATCTAGAGGATTTACTGTGACCTTTGTACATAGAAAAGCATAATTCCTTTCTCCGTATTTGAAAATCTGCTAAGAGGTAGTTCTTACCTTCTCTGACTCTGGTATTGGTCTGCTTCCTCACCTGCCAGGTAAAGGCCTGTCCCTTCTGTCCCAGGCCTTTTAAGCTGTGTGTAATTGTGGGCTTGACTACTCAGGATCAGCCAGGGAGCTAGACTTTTGGGGGAAAATTTTTTAGATTGCTGATTGACACTGTGTTTGTGATAGAGGGAGTTAGGGAACTTCATTGCTTTTAAAAAGAAAGTTTTCATTTCCACTAAAGTGAAAATTGCTGGACTGTATTATTTTTATTATAAGAAACACTAAATGCTGAAAAGGGACAAAGGCAGATAGGAAGGGTTGAAATGGAAATATAAAGCCAAACAAAAACCTTATAGCCCCAGTATTTAAAGAAAGTTGGGATATCACAATGTATTTAATGTTGAATTGATTGAGACCTGAGAATTCTGAGATGGAGATTTTTAAGGGGAATCCAGCAATAGATCTGTTTGTGTTTATTTTTCTGGCTAAGTAAACGTGAGTGAACATCTCACACAATTTGCAAAAGCTGGTTGAATTCCTGATGTATGTAATGATGTGGTTTTCAAATAGGTTATGATCCAGTAGTGGGTCATGAAATCTAATTTTAAAGAAATGGAATAGAAAATATCAAATTGTGTCACACACATATTAAGAGTGGGTATTGTTTTGTGAAATGCTTTCAAAAAAATAATGTATGTTGTATTAGCTGGGCACAGTGTCTACCTATAGTCCTAGCTATTCAAGAGGCTGAGGTGGGAAGATTGTTTGAGTTTAGGAGTTCAAATCCAGCTTAGGCAACAGAGGGAAAACCCGGTCTCTCAAAAACTGAATAAATTAAAACATGTTTGTTGTATTGTGTTGTAAAACATAATTCTTATTGTGGGTTGTGATGGTCAGTTTCAGAGTTTATGAAGTCACTGCCTTAGAGGATATAAAAATAATTAAAACTCATTCCCATTCCCAAAGAACTCGAAATAACAGATTTTCTATACCTGCTAGTCAGTATATATTTCTGCGTATAGCTCAGAATGTTGTGCTCTGGATGGTGGTTCTAAGTCCTTCTTTGGGGAAATGGTTCTATGAAGTAAATTGCTAGTGATAGTGATTGTTACTGTTATTATTTTGCCAGTGGTTATTTTTAAATCACAAGATCCTTTAAGGGTATCTATGTGTTTTATCCTGAGATAGAGGTGTTAATGTAAAAGATCATTAATGTACAGTTCAAGAAAAGCACAAAAAAAATAAATCATTAATGAAATACTTACAGCTTTTGCAAAGACTTGGAGCTATATCCCAGAGTCGGGGGAAAAAATCTCTTAATGAACTTGGAATTTGCCACAGTTTTGCAGCTTTTAGATTGGGATTATGAATTAAAGACTCCTTGTCTGTTTTTTTTGTTCGTTTTGTTTTGTTTTTTTCCCCTTTTTTTGAGACAGGGTCTCACTCTGTTGCCCAGGCTGGAGTGCAATGGTGTGATGATGGCTCACTGCAGCCTCAACTTCCCTAGGTTCAGGTGATCCTCCCACCTCAGCCTCTCAAGTAGCTGGGACTATAGGCATGGACCACCACAACTTAATTTTTGCATTTTTGTGGAGATGGGGTTGCCCATGGGGTTGACCAGATGTTGCCCAGGCTGGTCTTGAACTCCTGGGCTCAAGCAATCTGCCTGCATCAGCCTCCCAAAGTGCTGGGATTACAGGTGTGAGGCACCGCGTCTGGCCTAGTATTCTTGATGGTCAATATTCCTTGCAATTTGTAGACAGATGGCACCCCAATTCAGATAGTTTTTTCCTGTTTGGAAGCCTGCTACATTGCTTCTAAAACTTTTCCAAAATGGGATGGATTTAGTTTTTATTTCTTCTTGCACCTCATATTCTCTCAACCTCATCTTTTTATAGCTCTCCTTCAGGAAATGTATAATACCTAGCTTGAGCTCAAGAAAAGCAGTTTAAATGGGAAGTAGTTTAACAGAATTGTCTTCCATCCAAGTAATTGCTGTTTCCTATTCTGTAGCTCCTCTCCCAGGGAGAACAAAGCTTTATACTCTGAACACTAAAGTGAAATCTGTTTTGTGCTTTTGTTGTTGTGGTTTCTTCCAGCCCTGCTAGCACTTATTTTACAACCTGTACCACTATATATTAGAGGTTCTGCTTAATATTTTTTAAAATAACATGCTGCCCTAGGACTGTGTATGTTTTCAAGGAAGAAAGTTATTTTAGATTTACTGAATTTATGTTAGCTTCGTTTCTACCTCTGTTTTGCTTTTTTAAGGAAGATAAAGCCAGATTCATTAGGGCAAATATAGCCAGATTATACCAGCTTGGGTGGCTGTTCTTGCAAATAATCAGCACTTAGTAGTATGGTGTTTCCTGAGATTCCTGGCTGGCAGTTATGATTCCATGACCTGTTAACCTGCCATCATCTAAAAGGCTCTGGAAACCAGAATGTTTTTCATACCCTATTTGGTGTCTTGGCTGGACCTGATCTGAGCTGACATGAGGCTATTTGTTGCTTTATTTATCCCACCTGGTATGAATGATCTATACCTTTCACGAAAGAAATATTAATATTTGTTTAAGGAGATCTTGTTAAGCATGTGAGCCTAATATTATATTCGCTGTCTTACCTTAACGAAAGTTTGGAAAACTCTCAAGTTCTAAAATTTGGACCAAAGGGTTTTGGATGAGGAATTATAGTTCTGTATTGCTACTCGTGGTGATCTTGTTATTGATTTTATTTCTTATTAAGTGTACTGTCAGTCTGAGTGTGGAAGTAGGCAAGTAGCCAGTGTAGGACAAGAGCATGGCTTCTGGGGCCAGACAGGCCTGCCATAATAACCTGTTTTAATTTTGTCCTTTGTAAAATGAGCTCAGTGATACTGTTCTCAGAGATGATTGTAAGGGTTAGATGAGATAACATAACTCTTGATCAGAATTAATTTCTTTCCTCTTTATAATCTTAACCTGACAGGGATCTTTCTAAACTAAAACTATATAATATATGTTACTTTATTATTTATACAATTCTTACCTTTAAAAATACACAGGCTGGGCGCAGTGGCTCACGCCTGTAATCCCAGCACTTTGGGAGGCCGAGGCGGGCAGATCACATGAGGCCAGGAGTTCGAGACCAGCCTGGCCCATGTGGTAAAACCCCATCTCTACTGAAAGTGCAAAAATTAGCCAGTCATGGTGGCATGCACCTGTAATCCCAGCTATTTGGGTGGCTGAGGCACAAGAATCACTTGAACCTGGGAGGCGGAAGTTTCAGTGAGCTGAGATCACACCACTGCACTCCGGCCTATGTGACAGAGTGGAATCCTGTCTCAAAAAATATATATATATTTACATATATGTAACATATGTATATTTCTTTGTTTTTATTCCACCTGTTTTGCAAAATGGTATTCATTTCTTCCTTTCTGCTGTTTATCTTTGGCCTCTAGGGGAGCATGTAACTTCAAGGTTTAAAAACGAGGTGGAGAGGATGGGTTTTGATATGAACAACGCCTGGAGGATTTCCAACATCAATGAGAAGTACAAGTGAGTTATATGGGTCCCTGTGGACTGTTTCACAGCCAGTGCCTTTGCAGAAACCGCAATTCTCATGTGGCAGAACATTTGAACTTAGACTTTTTATTTGAAATGGTTTTATTTATTAAATCTAAAGGCATGATCTTCAGAGTATTTATTGAATCTTCTGTTCCCGTTGCTATCATTGGAGTGGAAAGTGATCCTTACTTAACAGGATCCTAGAACCTTCCCTTTTACCCCCTCTAGGCCTCTGTTTTTTCTGGTACATGCATGTCTAAATAATATTGTATTTGCCTGTAGGCAGGCAGTTACCATTTTTCTCATCACCACTTGGCATCACATTAGAGAGAGGATCAGTGGTCTCATAAGCAGTGACAGAACATTTATGAACTAGTTTTTATGACTGTAATTTTACTCCAGGTGGTGTGAAATAGACATAAGTACAGTTGAGTATCCCTTATCTGAAATTCTTGGGACTGTAAATATTTCAGATTTTGGATTTTTTTCAGGTTTTGGAATATTTGCATGAACATAATGAGATTATCTTGGGCCTGGGACCCAAGTCTAAACACAAAATTATTTGTCTCATATACACATTATACAGCTGGAAGGTAATTTTGTACAATATTTTAAATAATTTCATGCATGATGTTTTTTACGAAAAGTTTTGACTGTGACTTGACTGTGACCCATCACATGAGGTCAAGTGTAGAATTTTCCACTTGTGGCATTATGTCAGCACTCAAAGTTTTGGATTTTGGAGCATTTCAGATTTTTGGATTAAAGATGCTCAGTCTGTATTATTCTGTCCTTTAATATATTGATCTAAAACCAACTTCACTGCTATGATCATTTAACCATTAAATATTAATGTAACCTTTATTTGGCTGGACATGGTGGCTCACACCTGCAATCCCAGCACTTTGGGAGGCCAAGGCAGATCAGCTGAGGTCAGGAGTTCGAGACCAGCCCAGCCAACATGGCGAAACACTGTCTCTACTAAAAATACAAAAATTAGCTGGGCGTGGTGGTGCATGCCTGTAGTCCCAGCAACTTGGGAGGCTGAGGCAGGAGAATTGCTTGAACCTGGGAGGTGGAGGTTGTAGTGAGCTGAGATTGCACCACTATATTCCAACCTGGGTGATAGAGTGAGACTCTGTCGCAAAAAAAAAATTAATGTAACCATTTAGCCATTACCCAGTTCCTTAAAATGTGTAAGTGCGTTGGTGGGGGAGGACAGTTAACTACTATGATTTTGGTGATCCAAATTTCTATAAAACAAAATTGTCCATGATAGTTAAATATCTTAAATCTTTAACTATATCCTTCTTGGCCAGGCGCGGTGGCTCACGCCTGTAATCCCAGCACTTTGGGAGGCTGAGGCAGGAGGATCATGAGGTCAGGAGATCGAGACCATCCTGGCTAACACGGTGAAACCCCGTCTCTACTAAAAATACAAAAAATTACCCGGGCATGGTTGCAGGTGGCTGTAGTCCCAGCTACTGGGGAGGCTGAGGCGGGAGAATGGCATGAACCTGGGAAGCGGAGCTTGCAGTGAGCTGAGATTGTGCCACTGCACTCCAGCCTGGGCAACCGAGCGAGACTTTGTCTTAAAAAATAAAAAAAATAAAAAAAAAAAATATATATATCCTTCTCCTACGTTTCCCTGCATCATTAATCATTCTGCGGTCCTCTTAGCTGTCTCAAATTATGACGGGCATTTTCCTGGTCTGTTTGTGGCTAGCCGTCAGAGTTTTCACTGGAAAAGCTATAGCTAATTGCTATACACAGTTCTTAATGTGGACCTTCTCCAGGGAGTTGAGAACCCAGGGTGTTTTGAAGAGTTGGAGCTGCAGACTTTTTATACTTTTGCCTGTTCTCAGTGATGAGTCAAAGCAAAGAAGGAGGGTGAATGCTGGATGAGGGGGCGGCCTCAGAGAGCCTGTGGCTGCATTAGGCTTTCCTGAGTGTAACCTATACTGGAAATTGTTTATCCACAAGTGAGTAGGTAGTGCATACTGAAGAGCTGACTACTGGGAGTGTAGTACCTATAGGACAATGAACAGAATGTTTAGAAAATTAGATCAAGTAAAAAAAAACTGTGAATTAAGACAGACTTGTTGGAAAATAATCCCCAATTCGGCTTTTAAAAATTAACTTCTTGAGAGGCCAAGATAGAGGATTGATTAAGCCCAGGAGTTTGAGACTAGGCTGGGCAACATAGTGAGACCTCATCTCTACAGAAAATTTCTTAAAAATTTGGCCAGGCATGGTGGCTCATTCCTCTAATCCCAGCACTTTGGGAGGCCGAGGCGGGTGGATCACGAGCTCAGGAGATCGAGACCATCCTGGCTAACACAGTGAAACCCCGTCTCTACTAAAAATACAAAAAAATTAGCCAGCGTGGTGGCGGGCGCCTGTAGTCCCAGCTACTCAGGAGACTGAGGCAGGAGAATGGCGTGAACCCGGGAGGTGGAGCTTGCAATGAACCGAGATCATGCCACTGCATTCCAGCCTGGGCGACAGAGCGAGACTCCATCTCAAAGAAAAAAAAATTAGTTGGGCATGGTGGTGCATGCCTGTAGTCCCAGCTACTGGGGAGGCTGAAGTAGAAGAGTTGTTTGAGCCCAGGAGGTCGAGGCTGCTGTGAGCCATGACCGCTCCACTGCTCTCTAGCCCGGGTAACAGAACAACTGTCTCAAGGAGTTTACCAGTTATACCTCAGAACCAGTCTTTAGGATGTTATCACCACCATAAAACAAAATGGGGGGTGGTGGGAAACAACAGGATGTTGAAAGTTCTTCCTACTACAAAGGTAGAAGAGTGAGAGCCAAGTTTACTCTTGAGTTTAATACATAATAAAGGGAATGAGATTCATGGTTAGATATTAACCATCATTACTGGCTCCCAGCTTATTTTTAGGAGTTTGTGAATAGGTGTTAGGAAGTTTGTATAGCTACTCTTAGTCATAGCCATTCTCTTTTGTTCAGTGGCTTTTAAATTCCTGAAAATTCCAGAAGTCTCCTCTTCTGGAAATTGAGGAGAGATTTAGTGCAAAATGATCAAAACCCCCAAATCCTAAGCCATTTTGTGTTTTTCTGCGCTTTCTGCTATGTATAGGATAGGCTAGGGCAGGGGGTTGGTGGTGTTGGTGGAGTTTGTGTGTTTTAGGATTTGGATTAAAGGCCTTATTGCCTTCACTATTGAAAAAAGAAGATTGGATTATCCAGAGAGAGACATTGTCCTGTAAGTAAAAATCTATCGGAAGTATTGCTTCCTAGGATACCGGCTTGACTGTAGCTGGGATCTTCCCTAATTAAAAGAAAGCTTATCCCCCCGCCCCCAGTATAATTTGTTCTGAAGTATGTTTTATGGAAATTATGGTTAATAGCTTAGTCACATTACTAACCTGGTTCAATGGGACTGAGGCTGTGTATGCAGATAGACTGGCTTGTGTTGGTTTTGCATACCCATGGCTGCACCTGTTACCTATAAGGATGACACCCTGTTTGGTTCAAATCAAAGAATGAGTTAATCCTGTGAAGTCTCTGGAAACTTGCAATTGTGGGCTTTTTTCCTTCCCTGAGGGTCTGGTAGAACTGACACGGACTCTCAGTTCTGTAATTGGACTGGGCGCTCATGTAGTTAGAAATAACCTATGTACTTGTTACAGCAGAAGAGTTGTAATGGAGTATAAAGAGCTGACCCTCGACTCCCCTTTTTTTCATTGATAGTTAAGATTGCCAGATTCCCAAAAGGTAGCATCAAGTGGAACAATTCAAGATAGTATCATTTGTTGTATACACATAAGTAAACATTTAAGGCAACAAAACAAAACAAAACACACTTATGGTAACCCATTCTGTTGAGGAGTCCAAAACTCGAATAAAGCGCCTCATTGCCTTTAACTGGTTCTGTGGCAGTGAGATCATCATCCTTATGCTGGCTCACCTAGTGTCTCTCTCTCTCTCCCGTTTTCTCTCTCCCTCTCTTATCCCCTTGACTCTCCCCACTTCTCATCTTCTCTTTAGATTATGTGGTAGCTATCCTCAAGAGCTCATAGTGCCTGCCTGGATCACTGACAAAGAACTGGAAAGTGTATCAAGTTTCAGGTCCTGGAAGCGCATCCCTGCCGTCATCTACAGGTAAGTTAAACTGGACCAGTCCCAGCTTGGGCTGGTGCTGCTGCCTGCTGCATATGGTCTGCTGCCTCTGCTGCTGCTAACCTGGGAAGGGTGGGGAGAGTTCAGAGAACTTTCTAGGCAAGGCTGTACTTCCTTATTGTTAAAGCTTCTCCTCCAGTAACACATCAGTACTGACTGCATTCAGAACACTAGCTGGTTGTTCATTTGAAACAGATAAGAAAGTTTTAGTTGTAAAGTGGCTGGACTTGCTATTTCAATATCCTTCTTACATTCTGTGAGAAGATAATGTGCTTACTAAGCATTTAGCTTCAGCTGTTAGCAGGGCTTTTGGATTGAGAGATGAGTCTTAGAAAGTGATCTTTGGGAATATAGGGTCGAGTTGGCTCTGATTGTCTTTGTGGTTGAAACTTTGACATGTGGAAGAACTCTGTTTCGAGAGGAAGCATTTAGAGAAGAAGACTGAGGCATGACTAGATAGAAGATTTCAGTGATCAGAGGCATGAGAGCCATGGGATGCAAGTTCTAGATGGGGATGGTGGCATGGTGATGGAGCACAGATTTTGGAATCACAGATCTGAATTCAGGTATATTCTTAGACTTCTTGCTAAGGCACCTTGAATAAGTTCCCTAACTGACCTCAGTCTGTTCCTAATGAATACAATGGGAATGGTAGTTCTTATTTTGTAGATATGTTCTGATTCTAAATGAGGGGCTATAAACACTGAGCTTCTGTACCAGCATTTGGAATAGGTTAAATCTCTTGAGTGCTGCTTTTGTAATTCATTGAATATCTTAGTTCTCACAGAATCCTATTAAATTTTAAAGAAGTCCTTCCTTCTTATTCTGGAAATGTTTTGGATGTCATCTCTTTGTAATGTTTACATTCTCCATTTCATTTTCCCAGTTTGCCGGCTTTTTGGACTCTCCCTGAGTTGGGCCAATCCAGTGGCTTACAGTTAGAAACTTCATTCCACTGAAATATTGAGATTGTAGGAAGGGATTTGTCTCCTTGTGGAATTCCTACAGAGGTAACCAGCTTGTTCATTTAGTCTACTAAAGGCAAACTCTGATGCCCACTCTGAATGGAGAGAGATGGAAAAGTATTTGCTCTGGCCCAGTGGAACTCATTACGTTTTTAATCTCAATTCTCATCACTGTTGTTTTCAGACACCCCTAGAAAAGTCAGTCACCAAATTTACCTGTCATTCAAGTGGTAAGGATGCTACAGGAACTAGAGAGTAGTGAAAGCTGAAGGGATTTATGAGTCTTATCAATGATCAGCTCAGCTGGAATGGGGAAAGCAGCCAGTTGCTGCTCTGGCCAACAACTGTGTTAGGTCAGCAGCCCTGGCATCTGTGGGGCTTGCTGACTTTGACCAAAAGGGGGAAGGTACTCTTATTTGCAAAATAAGAGGCTTTAGGTGAATTCTCCCTTTGGGAAGAGAAGCTTAAGAGGGCTGGTTGAAGAAAAACTTCCTTTTTTTCTAAATTTTATTCTAGAGGGCATGCACCTTCTAAAATTAATTCTAGAGGGCATGCACCCTAGGTTTTCCCCCCCTTTTTCTAGAGATACAAGAGGATATATAAATGAAAAATTTTATTTGCAGTTTTTCAGAGAAAGTCTTTCAAAAGATCACAAAGTTCTTGGTGTAGTCATCCATGCAAAATCAGGCAGGTTTCCTGGAACTGGGCTCTGTCTCAGAACATGTGTCTTGTATCGCTGAGATGCAGACTGGGTTGCTGTAGTATTTGGGAGCTTTGTAAGGGGCGTGTGGAAGAATCGGATCCTCCACCATGCTCTGCTTTGCCAGCCTAGGTGGCAGGATGCCTGGAACTCTTGACATCCATTTCCTGAATTTAGTTGTCTGTAG
Organism: Homo sapiens; assembly: GCF_000001405.40. Taxonomy (NCBI): domain Eukaryota; kingdom Metazoa; phylum Chordata; class Mammalia; order Primates; family Hominidae; genus Homo; species Homo sapiens. The sequence continues at coordinate 30,004,864 of NC_000022.11, forward strand.
ATTGGGTCATGATTCCTGAGGTTGCCAGCAGCAGTTACTTGACAGCACCATGCTGAACCAGCGCTTGATTAGGGCTTTGTCCTACTGTGATGAGAGAGCACTTAATTGGATTTATAACTGAAGGTAGAGATTGCTCTAACATAGCAAGATGATGTAAAGGGCACCCATCTGTAGTGCAGTTCACAGCTTTTTCCTTTGTGCATGTGGTGATTATTCTAAACTCCTAGTTACTTAAGGGAGCTTGCCTAAATCTAAGTTGAGGTTACTTAAGACAATTCTGTTCCTATATAAAATTGAAGCATTCTGTGTTTTAGTAGGGAGGGCTTTATCTGTTGGACATCATAATTTTTATACTTTGCCTGGTTCTGTTAGTGATAGAAATGCATTCCTTTAGTGATTTTTAACTGTAGTGTTTGAATTATCTTTCATGTAGTCTGAAGCATTTTAGAAGACTGCAGAAAACATAATTGTTTATTGCAATAGTCCAGTTGAAATCTAATAGCTACTATAATGCAGTGTCCCCTAAAACCCAAGATCCAGGCTGAAGAGCGCCATCTACTGCTCCTCTTGGGCACTGCTGGGAAGCATTGAAGAAGAGGAGGATGTTCAGGAAAGGCCCAACCAGCCTCTTGTGCAGGGTTTGGAGTCATTCAGCTCAGTGGTTGCCTGTTATTTGCTAGGAGACATTTTATAAAGAATCATTGAGGTTTTATTTCTATTTTGGCCCCATTCAGCACGTGAGCCAGTTGAGCATGTTGGCAATACACAAGTACTTACAGCTACTTGTCTCCCAGGGAGGGAGGCTTTAAAAACTACAAGCAAACTGGTGATTTCAGTGGAATTTGATTAGTGCCAAATTTAACTTATTTGTGAGTTTTAGGAGTAAAAACAAATTACAGTACATTTTCATCGTCCCAAAAAACCCATTCACAGGGCACCCAGCCACCCTAGCCCTGAATAATTAAGATGTCCAATGGATGAAGCCCCTGCTAGTAAAACATAGAGTGCTTCAGTTTTATATAGAAACATACTCGTTTTAAGTAACCCCAACTTAGAATTAGGCAAGCTCCCTTAAGTAACTACGAGTTTATAATAGTCACTACATGCAGAAATCTACTTCCATCTTTATAGATTCGCCTATTCTGGATACTTCATGTTAATTGTCGTACAATAAGTTGCCTTTTGTGACTGACTTCTTTCACTTGTCATAACATATTTGAGGTTCATCAGTGTCCTAGCCTGTATCAGAACTTTATTCCTCTTTACTGCCAAGTAATAGAATTTTTCTAACTTTTTATCAGTTAAAATTGCCTAACTAGGAAAAGTCTGGGTTTTAATAGCACCTTAAAGTAGACTGTGATTTCTGGTCTGTCTTATTGGAAAAGGATATGTCAGAGTATGGTTTTCTGAGGTTGATGCTCTTCTTCTCTTTCTTAAGAGCCCTAGGAAGGGTAGCTGGCTCATTGAGCTATCTGCCTATTATAAGAGCAGTCTGTGACTCATGAAATCTCAGGAGATTTTGTAAAGCAGTTCACTGTGGGCCAGGTAAATGTTTTATTCCCAGAGGCGGGCTCTTGGTTCAGCATTAAGAAGGTAGCAGATTTCACTATTGGGTAGCAGAATTAGTGTAGTACCTATAGATTTAAGTTACGAATATTGATTTATTTTCACTAAGAGTACACATTAATTCTTTTTTGTTTTTTGGAAATGGGGTCTTGCTCTGTCACCCAAGCTGGAGTGCTGGAGTGCAGTGGCACAATCATAGCTTTCTGCAACTTCAGCCTTCTGGGTTCAAGGGATCCTTCCACCTCAGCCTCCTGAGTAGCTGCGACTACAGGCATGTGCTACCATGCCTGGCTAATTTGTAAAAACTTTTTTGTAAAGATGGGGTCTTGCTATGTTGCTCAGGCTGGTCTTGAACTCCTGGGCTCAAGTGATCCTCCTGCCTCAGCCTCTCAAAGTGCTGGGATTGCAGAGTGAGCCTCCATGCCTGACCCCTGTTAGTCATTTTTTTGGGTAACTTTACAGGGATCTCCGTGATGTTATGGTAATTGAGAAAGACACACAGGTTTTGTTGTTTGTTCTTGTTGGTTGTGTAAGATTTCTACCCTCTTTAATACTGAGAGGACTTGAAGCTGACCCAACACTTACCTAGAATTAGACTGTTCATTAAGGCACTTAAAATCTATTTTGTGTGAGTACAGAGAGCATCTGAATGGGTACAGTTGTTGTCTCTTGTTCCTCACACAGGCACCAGAGCAATGGAGCTGTCATTGCCCGCTGTGGACAGCCAGAGGTTAGCTGGTGGGGCTGGCGAAATGCAGATGATGAGCATCTGGTACAGTCAGTAGCCAAAGCTTGTGCCTCTGACTCCCGATCGAGTGGCAGCAAGCTGTCAACTAGGAACACTTCTCGAGACTTTCCCAATGGGGGAGACCTTTCTGACGTGGAGTTCGGTAAGGTGCTCCCTGGACCCATGGCAATGATTTTTATAGCATCTAAGAACCTTTTCTTGAAATGGCCTCTTCCTTACAAGACATAGATTTACTTTTATAGAAGTGAATGTGCAGAGCTTCACTTGATGGGATTGATTGAGGAGTCATGGGTCTTGGCAGAGAATCAGAAGACCCTTTGTTTCAAACCTGAATCAAGATATTAGTGTGTTTGTTGTCTTTCTTGCCATTGTGACAAAAATGGAGTGTTTATGTAATAGAGGACTTGCAGTATCTGCAGACCATGGCAGGAAATGCCAGGCTTCATGAAAGGACAACAGATACAGAAATGAAGTATAAGAGACTGGGCTGTGTGAACCCCATGTGTACTCTGGGAGTCAGTTTTGGAGAATAAATCCTTCTCATCTTTCATAAGAAGGCCACATAGAAAAAAAGAGAAAAATCCTATGTATCAAGGGTTTTGGTTAGGGGATTTCATTTTATTGAGCCTTTTTTGTGCCATAAGATGTGCTTGTGGGTCTAATTCTGCACAGTTCTGGGAGAGACAGGCTCATTTAGTATGCCCTCTCCCTCTGTGTCCCTAGATTCTTCTCTGTCAAATGCTTCAGGAGCAGAGAGTTTAGCCATCCAACCGCAGAAGCTTTTGATCTTGGATGCACGCTCCTATGCAGCTGCTGTGGCAAACCGAGCCAAAGGAGGAGGCTGCGAATGCCCAGGTGAGGTGTATGGTGCTTTGTTCCCCATACTTTCTCCTTGTGAGTGTAGCCCTTGCCCAACTGAGACTTAGTTCCCAATTTGAAATAAGTGGCAAGCCATATTCCTCATCCATCCTGTCGTGAGAGTGCCAGAGCTTCTCTTTGGATTCTTAACACTGTATGTTCTTTTCTGAGGAGAAATGGAGGAGGAGGTGCAGTGAAGTCACATAATCTTCCTTCCTTGTGCCAACTTGTAGGTGATAAGGAAAGCAGATCTTCCCCATAATAAGACCTGTTCATGTTTGGAAGCTGCTGCTTTAGTGGGCTCAATTTCTCAGCCGTCTAAAAGCTTTTTGTTGCCTTTGACAGAGGGTATGCTCACCACTGGCCTTGTAGCAAACTCCTCAAGGGCCTCTCCTTAGAAAACCTGGGGTGAAAATTGAAGCAGTAAATACAGAACCCTAGTAAGGTATCTCTGTCCTGAGCTGTAACACCATTACTGTTGGAATGCTAGCTTTCCCCAAGGAGGGACCCCCCTCAGTGCCTATGGCACAGGCAGAGGCACCAGGCTCTTTGTTCAGATGTGGTCTAAGCTGGAAATTGAAAGCAGCTGTACCAAGGTGAAATTTGAATGTGTGAACGCATTGTTCTGTGGAGTTCTTTTCAAAGAGATTTCAAAGCCACAAGTTAGATAAGGCCCAAGAAGTAAAGCCAGAGTGAGATCGAAGTAGGCCTTTCTTTTAAAAAATAATAGCTTTTATTTTATGTCAGTATCTTCTTTACAAATCTAACCTTCCCTTTTCACGCTTTTTGAAAAGATAGCTAAAATTCAGTGTGTTCCTCTTATTATAAAGGATTGGGCTAATAGTTAAGCATTTCAAAACATTTCAGTTTCGTTAATCAGAAGCTGCAGTGGGTTTGTTTTATAGCCAGTTTGCTTTTAAATTTGGCCATGTGGGCTTTAAGTTCAACGTATTTGTGTTCTCTTTATTGTTACTCTCTCCAGAGTATTACCCAAACTGTGAAGTTGTGTTTATGGGGATGGCAAACATTCATTCTATTCGGAGGAGTTTTCAGTCTCTGCGGTTGCTGTGCACTCAGATGCCAGATCCGGGAAAGTAAGTCCTTGGCCTTGGCTTTCATTTTGCATTGCTCTTAAATAATAAGTTTGCTTCTTTCCTTGAACTAAGGGGGAAAAAAAGAAAAAAAAATTAATTTGGAGCAGTCTTTCCTTCTGTTTCTTGGTAATCTTCAGTTACCAGACCAGTCTCTGCAAGTATCTCCTTGCTGGGTCTGAAATGTGGCAGCACAGAGGAAGAGTTGGGAGAAAATACAGCCATTTGAAAGGTTTTAAAATCTGCAGCACAGAAGAAATCTCAGCATCAAAACAGAAGCATTACCTTACTGTTTGTCCTGGGACCTTTCCCTTCCACGTCATTTTTAGCCCAAAGAAATTTAATTCTTCAGTTTCTGATGTCCCATAGTGATACATAACCTGTTTTGAACTGGGATGTTTTATCATGAAAAGTCAGAATTTATTCATCATGTTCTAAAGGGTTTAAACTTGCCATTAAGTCAGTTCCTTTTACATCTGCTTTCAATTTCTAAACTGTTCTCATTTACTAAGCATATTATCCTGATTCTTATTGCTTATTAAATATGAATGGCTGGCATTTGCAGTGAGGAAGGTGAACTAATACCCCCTCCAAGGGTACTGATTGAATACAAGATAAATTAGGAAGAATGCTCTGTAAAACAAATATGGACAGATAAGTATTTAAAAATCCTGTTTTACTATTTCAGGAAGCCAGAGATAGGTGCCAGAGAAGACAGAATTTTCTTTTTTCTGGTATTTGTGCTGGAGCCCATAGTTGTTTCTCTGGGTCCTATTCAGTAGATCTGATGATCACATCAAGTTTTACTGCGTTCTTTATTTGATTTATTAAATCAGATGCTGCCTAAACCACTTATATTGACTGCCAGTAGCAAATGATTAAATTCACCGTAGTTGTCATCAGCCAAGAGGATGAAGCAGTGCCTTTGGGGAAAGCCTGACCGGAGAATTGAGCTTGCTGCCTCCTTTGGGGATTAGCCATTTGCATTTGCTACACAGTTCCAGGTCCCAGCTAGCAGCGCTTTCTTCCCTAGGGTGGTATGTAGAAGGAGCCTTACTAAGGACCCAGGAGATCGGCCGCGAACTGTGTAACCTTGGCCAAGGGGTTTAACTACTGTAGATCTCAGTTTTCCTGTCTATAAAATGAAAGACATGTAATCAACACTACATGATCTAATACCCTCCATATATTAAAATTCTTAAAGAGCTATCAGAGTCAAAAAAGATAGAATTAGCCCTCACCTGGTCCACATAAATGTCTTGGGGATTTTATTAAAGGTAATGCTTTTATGTATTTGGCAGCAAATCATAATGCTGCACTGAAGTCTCCCTCATGGGTAAAAAGCAGCTGTAGCAGTGATGGGCAGCTGTAATTAGGCCCCCGGCCTGTGTTTGGGGCTGTGGAGGATAGGGGAATGGTAGGCTTCTAGTGCAGGTTGAGAACAGGACAAGGGAATGGGGAGTCTCTCAGCAGCCCCTCCTTGGCTGGCAGGTTTTGGAGTACAGCTTCATTAGTCACAGACAACACCAACTGGTATTAAATAATAGTTTAGTTAGGTTCAAAAGAACCTCACACCGGTTCTCTTGTTTACCATTTCTTCAGGTGCTAGGAGATAATTTAGTATTTGTTCTCCTAAGCCTTATCTTTTAGTTCCTTTCAAGAATATGTGAGGAATGAAATAAACAATTGATCCATCAGGAAAAAATGTTTCTCAGGTACCTGCTAGGAGATAGAAAGTCTTACGATTGGATTTTTACCCATAACAGACTTACAATTCATTAAACAGTGGGACTCCCTACTGTATGCTAGGCACTGTGCTGGGGGTACAGTTATGACTGAGACATAGTGTTAGCCCTCTGAGGAGTCACAGTCTGGTTGGTAGTCCAAACAAATCCATATACAACCAGTACTTATGCACTGCATTCTGTTGTCTCTTTGCCTGGAAAGACCCCCACCTCCTTAGACTATGCCAAAATTTCATACTTATTCCACAGGGTTTAGTAGGCCTTTACAGCCTTCCCACAGTCCCCTGACAGAAATGTTTATTTCTTCCTCTGACTCAGTGTTTGAAAGACTTGACTTGTGATCTTAACTACAAATCTGATCACATTTGGGAAAAATCAACTCCTTTTTAGGGATTGGGAGGGGTGAGGGAAAGCACAAGAAACAAAATGCAACAGAGTTTAAAAAGCAAGTGTGATTAGCTTGTGATTACTCCCAAGGGGCAGCTACTGCTATCTGATACTCCGAAAGTGAGATGGAGTCTCTCTCTCTCATCCATGCTGGAGTGCGGTGGCCTGATCTCAGCTCACTGCAACCTCCACCTCCCGGGTTCAAGTGATTCTCCTGCCTCAGCCTCCTGAGTAGCTGGGATTACAGGCGTGTGCCACTATGCCCAGCTAATTTTTGAATTTTTAGTAGAGATGGGGTTTCACCATGTTGGCCAGGCTGGTCTGGAACTCCTGACCTCAAGTGATCCACCCACCTCAGCCTCCGAAAGTGCTGGGATTACAGGCATGAGCCACTGCGCCCGGCCTCTAAAAGTCTTTCAAAAAAAGGTTCTTCCTAGATCGCTGCTGAATCCAGTCTGTGTTGAGCCCAGCAATACTGTGTGGCCATTGGTATACTAATTTGTATCAGTATAAATTATCAGATTGGGCTCATCTTGTTTTAGTCAGTAAACATTAAAGAATTAAACAGTGGTAAGTGTTACAGTCTGGGTCATAGGCAGGGTTGTGTGTACCATTCTTGTATATGGCATCCAGCTTATGTCTCATAGATATATTTGTATTCATGAGTTTTTCTTTTCTTTTCTTTTCTTTTTTTTTTGAGAACTTGTTGGGCGTAGTTGCTGATCATTAAATATAAATATCTTCTGTTTTACATCTCAGAAGTGGCTACATTTTTTATTCAGGAGAAGATTCCAGAAAGAGCCACTTTCCTTATACCATGGACTGAAAAATGTCAAATATTTTGCCCGGGGAATCATCCATACAGATTTTGGAACAAAAGGTGTGCTATTAATTGTAGCCCCTATTTCTAAGGCTCTTCTCTATTGTATAGTAGGGCTTGGGCCTCATCCTGAGACATGCTTTATAAACACACAGATTTTTTTGTTTTGGCAGTGTTATATTTGGAGAGAGAAATCTTTGGAAATTGCTTTTTCATTTGACAATCATTGAGCATGATGCAGTAAATCATAAAAAAATCAGCATTTTCTAATCCTCTCCTGTTTTTATAGTTGGCTATCAGCTCTTGAAAGCACAAAATGGCTCCATCACTTGTCTGTGCTTCTGAAATCAGCGCTTCTGGTAGTGCATGCTGTGGATCAGGATCAGCGGCCGGTGCTAGTACACTGCTCAGATGGCTGGGACCGCACCCCCCAGATTGTGGCATTGGCTAAGCTCTTGCTGGACCCTTATTACCGAACCATAGAGGTGAGCCCATCCAAATGGGAGGGGTTGGTACTTCAGGATGAGCCAGGGAAACGTCTCAGGAGTGATACCAGTTTTGGGAGTGGTGATTCGGTTAAAGAAAGTGAAATTTCTGTTTTGGTCATTGTTCCTTTATGCCATGAGCTAAATTGTGGTGGTTCCTCCCACAGTTCTTGCACCTCTTAAAATGGGGCAGATTATGGGTAACAAGGTATTGAGAATATAGACATATTTTCCTTTACAGTCTATCTACTTGTAAAAGTTTTTAGCTACCTCAGGAAAATAAGGAGTCTGTAAAAGGATCTTGGCATGCTAGATATTACCAGAGTGTTCTGTGGAGAAGCAGCTCTACCTGAAATAACCATCTGTTGGGTTAAAGATGAAAGAAAAATCATAAAGTACCCTAAAATATATGCAAGTATTAATTAAACTTGGGGTATAGAAGGATTTTACAGACTTGACTTTGTAACACCAGAGGCAGAAATGTTAAGAGAAATTTAGGGGAAAAGTGTGGTTTTTATATAGTGAACACAAGAGGCTAAAAATACACATTCAAGAAAGGCTTAGATAAACGCAGTCAGTACCATTTTAGTGATCATGGAATGGAGTTCAGGGAATTGGGAAATTTCCCTAAGTGTGTGCCTCATCAGGGATAGAGCCTTCCACCAAAGGGCAAGGCCGGGTGGGCTTTCTGGGAGGCTGTTAGAGGGGATTGCTTTCTGTGACACCAGGCTTAGGACTGTCACAGTCTGGATAGTCTAGCACAAATGGTCTCTCCTGGATGCTTCCCTGCAGGGTTTCCAGGTCCTCGTGGAAATGGAGTGGCTGGATTTTGGCCATAAATTTGCTGACCGGTGTGGTCATGGGGAGAACTCGGATGATCTGAATGAACGTTGCCCAGTGTTTCTGCAGTGGCTTGACTGTGTTCATCAGCTTCAGAGGCAATTTCCTTGCTCTTTTGAGTTCAATGAAGCATTCCTTGTAAGTTTCTTCATTTTGGGGACTTTCTCAATTTGAAGGAGGGTCAGTACAAATGTTAGTGGGCCAGTTCTCACATGAAACTGTGCTGCCTCTTCAGAATTTAATAGAGGTGATTTTTTTCCTGTTTCTGCTTTTTTTTTTAGTAAATAATTTTGCTATTTTCAAAAAGAGAAAATCCAGGTATACCAGGTTTGCATGAAGTCCTTGTGTTGTTTTAAACTTAGTTTTTTTTTAAAGGGATGGTAGAAACCCTAAATAGCAGTTAGAAATAGAAGCAATCAGAATGTCTGGACCATACTCCCTCCAGTCTGTCTACCAGACCCCCATGACTGTCTCAGACTCTGCACCCTCTCCTTTGATGGAGGGTACACTATCCCTGCCCTCTTTCAGCCCCTCTGTCCATTTGTATACCAGCTCTCATCTCCTCTCATCTGCTGCACTGGCTGGCTCCAGCATTTCTCTTCTCTGCCTTCTGCATCAGTGCGTTTCCCTCTCTACCAGAGCATGGGTTTCAGCTTAAAAATGTGTAGTGTCTCTCATCTTTTTAAAACCCATTCTTGGTCCTGCATTTACCTCTAGCTATCATCCTATTGCTCTTGTTCCCCTTTACAGCAGAGCTCCTCAAGTTTTCTACCCTTGCTATCTCAAATTTCTCTTTCCACTCTCTCTTAAACCCACTTCAATCAGGCATTCACCCCACTGCTTAACAAAGCTGCTCTTGTTAAAATGACCAGTGACCTTCATGCCACCAATCCAGTGAGAAGTTCTCAGTCTTCATCTCTTTGATCCATCATTACCATTTGGCACAGTTTAACCACTCCTTCCTTGAAATGCTTTCTTCAATTGACCTTCTAGTACTTCCTTGCAGTTGACTTCTAGTACTTCCTTGCTGTTAGTTCTCCTTTTACCTTACTGGATTGTTTCTGCCTCCTTTGCTGATTCCCCTTAATCCCTCCAGTTCTTTTTTTTTTTTTTTTTTTTTTTTCAGATAGTATCTTGCTGTGTCACCCAAGCTGGAGTGCAGCAGTGTGATCATAACTCACTGCATCCTCAAACTTCTGGGATCAAGAGATTCTCCCACCTCAGCCTCCCCAGTAGCTGGGACCACAGGCACATGCCAAGATGCCTGGCTAGTTTTTAAAAATTTTTTGTAAATAGACATGGAGTCTCGCTATGTTGCCCAGGCTGGTCTCAAACCTCCTGGCAAGTGATTCTCCCGCCTTGGTTGCCCAAAGAATTACAGGCGTAAGCTTCGACACCTAGCCTCCTCTCCCCAGTTCTAAATGTTGGAATGCCCCCTTGCTCAGCCTCCAGGCTGCTCCTCCATCCACACTTCCAAGTATTTCATCCATTCTAGTGGCTTTAATTGCCATCTGTATGCTGATGAGTCCCACATTTATACACCTTCAGCTTAGACCTCTCCACTTCAGACTCACGTATCTAAGTTACTACTAGGTATCTCCACTTGGCTGTCTTAATGTTGATTCAGACTTAATAAATTCAAAACTTGATGCTTCTTTTTGGAGACAGCATCTCACTCTGTCACCCAGGCTGGAGTACAGTGGCGCAAACACAGCCCACTGCAGCCTTGAACTCCCAGGGTCAAGTGATCTTCTCACCTTAGCCCCCTGAGTAGCTAGGACTGCAGGTGCGTACCACTGTGCCTGGCTGATGTTTTTAATTTTTTTTTTTTTTTTAAGAGATGGGGTCTTGCTTTGTTGCCCAGGCAGGTCTCAAACACCTGGGCTCAAACAATATCCTCCCACCCCGGCCTTCCAAAATGCTGGTATTAACAGGCATGAGTCACCATGCCTGTCCAAAACTTGATTCTTGATTCCTGTGTTTCCTCACTATAAAACTTGATCTTCCAGAAGTCTTCTCTCTCACCATATGGCATTTCCATCCCTCCTTTTGTTTGGGGCAAAATTCTTTGTCATCGTCAAGTCTCCTCCCTCCCTCCCTCCCTCCCTCCTTCCCTCCCTCCCTCTTCCACATTCAGTCAGATTCTGCAGCTCTGCTTTCGCAATCTATCTAAAACCTGGTTATTTATTGCCACCTTTACTGGTACCACACTGGTTCAAGCCACCATCATCTCCTGCCCCAATTGAGTTATCCCAGCATAGAGTCTCTTCTAAAACACAAGGCAGGCTGTGTCATTCCTTGGCTTAAAAACCTCTAGTTACATTTTACACAAAAGCCAAAGTTCTTAAAATGGTCTCCAGGGCCTTCCTAGAGGTTACCTCTCTAGGTTCATTTCCTACCATTCTCCCTCTTCTGCAATCTCCTTTAGTCACACTGGCCTCCTTGCTGTAGCTCAGAAATTGCAAGCATGTGCTTTACCTCAAAGCCATTGCACCTGTGGTTGCCTCTGCCTGGAGTGCTTCCCCTCAGATACCCACATGCCTGCTCTTTCAAGTCCACTGGGTCCCAGCCAGTGAGGCCATCCTGCACTGCCTCATATGTGTCCTGTCCATCTCAGTCTGCCTTGTTCTCCATAGCACTGGTCACTCTTCAGCTATGACTAGAGCAAGCTCCATCAGGGCAGAAGAATTTGCTGGTCATTGCTACATGCCCAGCACCTTAGTCATGTTTGGGCCATGTGAAATGCTCAATAATTTGTAGAATGAACAAGTAGTTTTACAAACATACTGTCAGCTCAGACTTGAGTTGTACACTGACGTGCTCCTGCACCCAGTTCATATGCTGTGGCGCTTGTGAGAGTGGCTGTTAATTCACAATCTCAGACTATTTATCACGGAAGCTAAGAGGAATAGGGGCACCAACAACCTGTCTGACTCAGGTTGTTGGGTCCTGGAATTGGTGGTGTGAGGAGGAGGAGGCTACTGCATGGCTTACTGGGTTCCCCGTCCTGACAGAGTAAATTGAAGTGTTCTCAGGGATGTTAGGATAAGGTGGCTCAGCTGAGCTGACTTATCAGAGTGTGCATGCCTGATTGCTTAATTTGTGCTTCATTGGACTTCCATAGGTGAAACTGGTGCAGCATACCTATTCCTGCCTGTTTGGAACATTCCTGTGCAACAACGCCAAGGAGAGAGGGGAAAAGCATACTCAGGAACGGACATGTTCCGTGTGGTCACTTCTTCGGGCAGGCAACAAGGCTTTCAAAAACCTACTGTATTCCTCTCAGTCAGAAGCCGTATGTATCCTTCAGCCTTTCCACTGTGGTCAGCAGAAGGAATTTGGGGTTGGTTACATATGAGAGCCTTTTTGAGTAGTGACTGTTTTTGTGAAGACATCTCTACTGTCTCTGGATGGACTGGTTCCATTTTTCCCCCATGATTCTGTCCTGAGGAAGGCCTGCTTCTGATGGTGCTCTGATCTGTTTCTGATGACTACTTGCTGAGGGTGGTTTGGTTTAACACAGATCTCTACTTTGCCACCCTAGACATGAATCTTTTTTGGCACTGCCTCCAGAGCTTATTTCTAGCATATTCTGTCTTACGGGAGAGGCACTTAAGTTGCTTCCTGATGCACTGATAGCTCAGAATGAGCTGCCACCAGGCCCCCAGCACCCTCCCAGTGTCAATAAGCAATGATACCCACCAAAGCTTCTGTCTCAGAACAGTAAACTGTGTTTGACATTGGTATGTGTGTCTGTCTGATTCTCTGCTCACATGAAGAGCTGGCAGGCCCTTTAAGACTTTGTTCCCCGAAGGAATGAATACCTTCTGTTAAGCAGAGAAAAGGAGGCACATAGACCTATGTGTCAGTTTCATAGTAATACTAGCTTTGTCAGAATGCATCTTAGACCCTAAAGAAGTCAAAAGGAGGCTAATCAGAGTTCATACTGATTTCCTGGACTATTAATATGGTTCTCATTACATTTAAGTAATCACAGAAAAGATTTAAGCTGACTGCTTGTCTCTCCCCTTCAGTGTGCCTTCTGGGGAAGTAACAATACAGCAGGAAAATTTCCTTCTTTTCACATGATTAATTTAAATGATCCCATAAAATGGGTTTGACAGTGTTTCTTGAAGCCAAGCTTTTGTGCCAGCAGGATGGACAATCACCATCTAACAGAATGACTCACTTTCTTAGGCAGTAAAAGCAACAAATCAAGCTGATGAAAGTCAGACATTGAAGGTGACCTAAGAAATAACTATAATGAGAAAGGGATCTAAAAAATATTTTATATTTTCATGCTCTCAAGTGGCTCTTAGGTGAAAAATGTTGGCTATATAAAATGTCTAGTCCTGTATTGGTCCTCTTGGGATAGACCTGTATCCATTGGTGCTGCTTCTTTGTGGAGATCCTGTCAGCCCTGTTGGGTATTCCAGCTGGGTGCTTGCTCTTGATCCTCATTTCCAGACATCCTAGAAGACTTATTGGGGCATATTTAAACCTGTGTCCTCCCCCCTCCTCAGGTGCTGTACCCTGTGTGCCATGTGCGTAACCTGATGCTGTGGAGTGCAGTGTACCTGCCCTGCCCATCCCCAACCACCCCTGTGGACGACAGCTGTGCACCATACCCAGCCCCAGGCACCAGCCCTGATGATCCCCCCCTGAGCCGGTGAGCCCAGGGTGATGCCACAGGCCTGACAGCCTGTGTGGGTGTATTCCTGTGTTGGGACGTGTGCAGGGATGGTCAGAGATCATGATGGTATCTGGCTCCACAGTATCTTTCTTAGGTCTCTGCAGTTTTTTCAGGGAAGTTATAGGGATTTCTGAGCTACGAGGCTGTAAGATCCTTGTTTCTGGGAGTGAGTTAGGCCCTGTTGCTTCATGTTGTTTTGCATACACTGAGCCGCTCCTCAGTGATAGAGCAAATCCTCCAGTTTTTCTGTGACCCCCTGGTTTGTGTTTTCCCCAGTGCTCTGTGCTCCTGCCTATTTGCCATGATTTGTCTTCTGAGGCTTAAAAGGCAGATGCTGTCAGATGACAGAAAATTTTGCTTTGGGGCCAGGCTTGGTGGCTCATGCCTGTAATCCCAGCACTTTGGGAGGCCAAGGTGGGAGGATCGCTTGAGCCCAGGAGTTCCAGACCAGCCTGGGCAATGTGTTGAAACTCTGTTTCTACCCAAAATGCAAAAACTAACCAAGCGTGGTGGCACATACCTGTAGTCCCAGCTACTTGGGAGGTTGAGGCAGGAGGATCACTTGAGCCTGGAAGGTGGAGGTTGCAGTGATCCAAGATCCATTGCACTCCAGCCTGGATGACAGGGCAAGACCTGTCTCAGGAAAAAAAAAAAAGAAAAGAAAATTTGGCTTTGTCACTTGAGAATTAGCTTTATTAAATTCAGACTGATAGATAATACATTAATTTAAAATACTGTAATATCAAGAAACACCAGTGCTACTTTGCCATCCACTGAGAAACACAGCAGCATCATGAAGAACGTCTTTTGGAAATAGCATTTGCAGGCCGGGCGCGGTGGCTGACGCCTGTAATCCCAGCACTTTGGGAGGCCAAGGTGGGCGGATCACCTGAGGTCAGGAGTTCAAGACCAGCCTGAACAAAATGGTGAAACACCCATCTCTACTAAAAATACAAAAAAACTAGCCGGGCGTGGTGGCACACACCTATAATCCCAGCTACTCAGGAGGCTGAGGCAGGATCGCTTGAACCTGGGAGGCGGAGGTTGCAGTGAGCTGAGATCCGCCACTGCACTCCAGCCTGGGCGACAGAGTGAGACTCCGTCTCAAAAAAAAAAAAAAAAGAAAATAGCACTTGCTGTTAGCTCATTTGTATGTATGGGGCATGGGGTTGGGGGAGTTTGAAAGGAAATCTGCACACTAGGAGGACTTGTTCCGGAGCTTTGCTGCTCCAGCAGTCTGGGCCTCGCTCCAGAGATGCTACAGCTCCATGAGTAGCCATAATGGACCCAGTTATGAAACAACTGCTTGTTAAAACCTATTGTCTCCTACTTCCTCCAAACAGTTTCCAAGATTTTCATTTCCCCCAAATTCCTTTCCTTTAGGCTACCAAAGACTAGATCATACGACAATCTGACCACAGCCTGTGACAACACAGTGCCTCTGGCCAGCCGGCGCTGCAGCGACCCCAGCCTGAACGAGAAGTGGCAGGAGCACCGGCGCTCACTAGAGCTGAGCAGCCTGGCTGGCCCTGGAGAGGATCCCCTTTCTGCCGACAGCCTAGGGAAGCCCACCAGAGTGCCGGGGGGTGCCGAGCTTTCTGTTGCAGCCGGAGTAGCTGAGGGGCAGATGGAGAACATCTTGCAGGAGGCCACCAAAGAGGAGAGTGGAGTAGAGGAACCTGCCCACAGGGCAGGCATTGAGATACAGGAGGGTAAAGAGGACCCTCTCTTAGAAAAGGAGAGCAGGAGGAAGACACCTGAGGCCTCAGCCATTGGACTTCACCAAGACCCAGAACTGGGTGATGCTGCTCTGAGGAGCCATCTGGATATGAGCTGGCCTCTGTTCTCACAGGGCATTTCTGAACAGCAGAGTGGGCTCAGTGTTCTCCTCAGTTCTCTCCAGGTCCCCCCCAGGGGAGAGGATTCCCTGGAGGTCCCTGTGGAGCAGTTTCGAATAGAAGAGATTGCAGAGGGTAGGGAGGAAGCAGTTCTTCCAATCCCAGTAGATGCAAAAGTTGGCTATGGTACCTCACAGTCATGTTCTCTGCTACCTTCCCAAGTCCCTTTTGAGACCAGAGGACCAAACGTGGACAGTTCTACAGACATGTTAGTGGAAGATAAGGTGAAGTCAGTAAGTGGGCCCCAAGGTCATCATAGATCTTGCCTTGTAAATAGTGGCAAGGACAGGCTTCCTCAGACCATGGAACCCAGCCCTTCAGAGACAAGCCTGGTCGAGAGGCCCCAAGTGGGGTCTGTGGTGCATAGGACTTCCCTTGGCAGCACTCTCAGCCTGACACGTTCCCCTTGTGCCTTGCCTTTAGCCGAATGTAAAGAGGGGCTTGTGTGCAATGGTGCCCCAGAGACTGAAAACAGGGCCTCAGAGCAGCCCCCAGGTCTTAGCACCCTCCAGATGTACCCCACACCCAATGGGCATTGCGCCAATGGGGAGGCTGGTAGGAGCAAGGACTCACTGAGCCGTCAGCTGTCTGCTATGAGCTGCAGCTCTGCCCACTTACACTCAAGGAACTTGCACCACAAGTGGCTGCATAGCCACTCAGGAAGGCCATCTGCAACCAGCAGCCCCGACCAGCCTTCCCGCAGCCACCTGGACGATGATGGCATGTCAGTGTACACAGACACGATCCAACAGCGCCTGCGTCAGATTGAGTCAGGCCACCAGCAGGAAGTAGAAACTTTGAAGAAACAAGTCCAGGAGCTGAAGAGTCGCCTGGAGAGCCAGTACCTGACCAGCTCCCTACACTTTAATGGAGACTTTGGGGATGAGGTGGTGAGTAGGCTGTGGTATTCCTCCATAGCTGCCCAAGGAGACGGCATGCTGAGGCTGGGTGCCCTTTGTGCCCAGTGCATGGTGATTGGTACAGGTTGTTAAAGGATTGGAAAGGTCCAGAGTAGCCCTGTTAAGAGAGGCTGGAGATGAGCCTCCACGACAGCGATGGCAGCCTGCCTGTTTTCTGCTTCGCTTACTTTCTGCAGATGTCCTGTTGAGGCCGTTGGAGAGGAAGAGACTTAGCATGCACTGCATGGTTGATCAGATCTCTCAGACACAGGATCATAAGTCTTCAGAAGGGCTTGAACCCATGGGCAGAATGACATCTGTAGGGCAATGCCAAGTTATTCCTGTCAGATTTTAGTGCCTGTTCTGCCTTAGTAACTACAAAGTATTAGTCCTTCCAGACGTGGGCTATGGCTTTGAAGGTTCAGTTCTTTTTAAACAAATATTTATACCCATCCTGTGGCAGATGCTGCCAGTAGAAATGGAGAGAAGGGACTGGTTTCTAGCACTGTTGAGGAGTTAGCTCTGATGGGGGTTTGTGGCTGGAAATGGGGGTTCCAGAGGGGGAGGTTCTCAAGGAGGTGCTTTCCTCTCTGGGTGGACTTGACTCAGGCAGCTCAAGTACAAGTGTGAGCCTGGCTCTCAAGTGGTCAGCGTACATTAAAGGCGGGCACATCCAGTGACTTTCAGTTCAGAGTGACTTGGCTTTTCCTTCATGCTAATGATAGTTTCTCATGTTCCCAGAGAGTCCTTCTAAGAAAAGGAGGGCATCCCGAAAGCACTCAGCTTTAACTTAGTGGCAGGCAGGGTTGGATTGACAGGCCCACTGGAGCAGCTGACATACAGAATTCTCATTCCATTTTGGTCACTTCCCTCTCACTCACTTTCTGGAACCCTGAGGGCCTGTTTTTCTACTCCAGAGTCACTGCACACAACCTGTGTATCCCTCTCCCAGCTGAGCCCAGGCCCACACTGCACTTCTTCACCCCAGTTCTTGATGGCTGATGCATCTGCAGATTCGGCAGTCCTAGCACTCGGCCCCACCCAGAGTCCTCAGTTCTCCCTTCTTCACCAGGCCTTTTCTTCTTTTGGGAGGAGACCAGGTTCATTCTGTTCAGCTGTGTTTGTTTGCCAACAGACTTCAATCCCCGACTCGGAAAGCAATCTGGATCAGAACTGTTTGTCTCGCTGCAGCACAGAGATTTTCTCTGAAGCCAGCTGGGAGCAGGTGGATAAACAGGACACAGAGGTACAGGCTCAGCCCCTGCTCTGAGTGCCATCAATTTAACTGTTTTGTGGTTCTTCTCCACCCCCATTCCCACCCCATACCCCTGGCCAAGGAAGCACCTCCCAGCACAGCTAGCCCTGAGCCTCTGGCACCTTAGCTCCTGGGAACCCACATGAAGCCTAGGATTTCTGAGCCAGGGAGACTCAGCAAGCTGGCCCTCCCTCTTCATTGCCTCTATGAACTGGAGCCTTGCCAGCTCTCACAGTGACCCAGGGTGCTGCTGCCTGCTACTTTATCTCAGGGGAGATTGGAGTCCCCTCCAGGGAAACGATTTGGACGCCTTTCTTGTACTGTTGACATCAGATCTGCTGGGCTGGTGCCACTGGAGCTGATGTGGTCCTTGTGACTCTTGCTGCCCCCAGCATGGCTCTGCTGGCTCCAGCTGGATGGCCCATCTCCTGTCAGTAACCTGGTCCCATCTGTTTTGCAGATGACCCGTTGGCTTCCTGACCACCTGGCCGCCCACTGCTATGCGTGCGACAGTGCCTTCTGGCTTGCCAGCAGGAAGCACCACTGCAGGTACCATTGAGGGGCTGTGGTAGGGTGGGCTGTGTGTGGAGGTTGAGGGTCGGCCCACAGAGCCTGCAGAGTAGAGGGTTGTGGGTATCTCAGTGTTCTGTCTGAGGCAGAGCCATGGTCTCATCTTCCTGTGCCTCTGAAATTGGTGTTTGCAAAACTGCATTTGGCATCTTTGTTCAAATTCAGAGTAATCACTGTTAAATTCTGAAATGTGCAAATGGTAGCATTTTGTTGTTTCCCAGATTGGTGAAACAACAGCCACCACTGAAACCACCATTTCTTATTCTCAGCATAACATTTCTTCCCATTCAACATGGCTACTATGAGCAAAACCAGTTTTCCTGCGATGGGGAGGGAACTATTTTCCTATTCCTTTCCTGCTCCCTGACCCCACACTTGTTTTCCCTTGTGCCATTGGTGAGCAGCTGTAGCTTGGGAAGTAGTAGAGACAGCTGAGGACAGTCTTCCAATCATTAAGGTTCCTGACTTCTTTTTCCTTCTGGGTTAGGGTAGTGAGTTTACTAGGGACCCTTTGCCCCAGCTAGGGTGTTGACTGTCTGGTGGATGTTCAGTGTTCTTAGAAGAGGAAGTTTATCTGAATCATGCCATAGCTCACCCACACGAGTGGGTGGATTGAAAATGGAACAGTCTCTTTGCCTAGTAATGATGCTTCTAGGACATGTATCTCCCCACCCTGCACCCCAAGCCCAGATATCTTTGGTTGGCTTCTCTTCTGAGCTCTTTCTCCCCTCCTTGCAGGGACACTGACCGTGTTGATCAAACGTGGTGAGCATTTGCAACAACCTGCCTGTGATGTCTGCACATCTACAATAACTTCTCCACACTAACTCTTATCATTTCCCCCTCTCTGCACTTACTAGGGTGAAGCCTGGGGCCTTGGGTGCACAGGCAGATAGGTGGGCTTGAGGGGATTCAAAGCAGCTGAGGAGAGGCCATCGAGGGTGGGTCAGGCTGCAGCCATGTGCTCCCCTCCTGATCACAGAGGTCAGCCAGGCCGTCTTGCTTGTGACGAGAAGTAGTGCTTCTTGTCTTCTGGTCTTGTAGGGGAACCAGTTGGGTTTTCAGAGCTATTTATTTTGGGTCAGTGATTCATTGAGATGCCAGAATAATGCTAGTAATTTCCAGGTCAAACAGCATCACTGCTTCTTTTTTCCCTTTTTTTTTTTTTTTTAAGAGACCAGGACTGAACAGAGGTGATCTTTCCAGAGAATTGTTTTAGCTTGGAAGACTTCAAGGAAAGATTCCACTTAGTGTCTTTCAGGGTCCTCTGAAAGAAGTCAGATAGAAAAGCATCAGCCAGGTGCGGTGGCTTACGCCTATAATCCTAGCACTTTGGGAGGCCGAGGATGGCAGATCACCTGAGGTCAGGAGTTCAAGACCAGCCCGACCAACATTGTGTAACTCCATCTTTACTAAAAATACAAAATTAGCTGGGCATGGTGGTGCACGCCTGTAATCCCAGCTCCTTGGGAGGCTGAGGCAGGAGAAGAGAATCTCTTGAACCTGGGAGGCGGAGGTTGCAGTGAGCCAAGATCGCACCATTGCACTCCAGCCTGGGCAATAAGAGCAAAACTCCCATCTCGAAAAAGTAAAGAAAAGAAAGAAAAGCATCAAATTCATGTCAGGCTTTTGAGCTGAACTCCAGCAGGAATGTTAAAGAAGTGTAGATGTTCAGAAATTTTTCTGTGTAACTACAGGTTTTTGCTGACTCACGCTTTTTAGAACTAGTTACGAAGTACAGCATTCTAGAAGATGAATTTTGTGTTTTTCTTTTCTGTCTTTCCATTGCCCCATGTCCCACCTTTTCCTTTTGTGGTATTCTTTTGTTCCCAACTGGTCTTAGTCTTCTCTCCTCCTGTGCCTAAGTGATCCTTAATCCAGCAGTGGGTTTGCATTCCGAACAGCATAAATGAAAAGTTAGAAGGCTAAGAAGCTGCCCTCCCCCAGTCTTTGGTGGGCTGTGTCAGGCTCCTTGGAGCTTCTTGTTCTTAGGCTCATTAGGATTGATTTGTACCTCAGGGCCCAGCAAAAGTAGAGTTGTAAGGTGGGCAGAAACTCATTCTTTGCCAATTCCCTTTCCTGTTGGCTCTGATGGGCATCCATCTGGGGGTGCAGAACTGTGCTGCACAGATGCCTCAGAACCCAGCTTTCAGGGGAGGAGGAGAGGGATGCCTGGGGCCTGAGTGCATTCTGGCCTTCTGGTAGAACTCTGGTTTTCCCTGGAGATGCATGGGTCGGGGAGTGAGCCATAATTGACTGACACCTATCTAATAAGGGGGTGTGTGTGCACGTGTGTTCATCCTGTGTTCTTGTCCTCCCACCTCTCCTCTTTCACCCTCTGAGCATGCATCACAGGCTACTTGTCCCTGGCTTTGCATGCTGCCAGCAGAGCAGTCCAAAATGGCAGCAGTCTATCTGCCATGTTGCTGCCTTTGATCCTCTGGAGAAGTGGCCGTTGGGCAAGGCTCCTTACTCCCCAGTGAGGCTGGGTAGTTGTTTCTCTCGTTTGAGGAGCCTGGCCTCTGTGATCACAAGCTACACAGAGGGCATTGCCTAGGTGGGTGTGGCCACTGGGTTTTCCTGGATCAGGACTAACCCATTGTTAGGACCATGTATTCTTACAGATCTCTCTTGAGCAGCATTCTTTTGTATACCTGAGCAGCATTCTTTTGAGTCAGTGGTGAGGCAGCCAAGAATCCTTGGCCCCAAAGTGAAAATGACATGTGACTCTGCTAGGTAGGGACACCCTCCCTACCCAGCTTGTTCCTGGGCTAGAGAGATGAAAGGGTTTGATCTCAAGGAGCTCCAGCACATGCAAATTACACACGGCAAAGTTTGTCTTTTGAAGTTGGTTTCCCTCCGCATACCTGCTGGCCAAAACTAACATTGTTCTGTTTCTTCTCATCTCAAGGAATTGTGGGAACGTATTCTGCTCCAGTTGTTGTAACCAGAAGGTTCCAGTTCCCAGCCAGCAGCTCTTTGAACCCAGTCGAGTATGCAAGTCTTGCTATAGCAGCCTACATCCCACAAGCTCCAGCATTGACCTTGAACTGGATAAGCCCATTGCTGCCACTTCCAACTGAAGCTCAGTGACCTGGGTGGGCAGTGGCCAAGCTGCTGTTCCTATGACAGGCCCACTCAACCTGGGCAGACCGAGAGGCCCGTGCACTTTGGAATGGGAGCGTGGAACCACCTGTACAGAGTGACAGATTTGGGATGCACCACTGGATTGTAGATTGATTTTTCTTTCCTGTCCCCCTACTCCCTCCCTACCTTTTCCATCCTCCTCCTCTGCCTTCAAAAAAGGAAACTTTCCCTTGGTTGTCTTAATTTTTTTTTTTTTTGATGGAAGACCAAGGGTTGCCAGGCCCACTGTAACTGCCGAGCTGCCTGCTGTCACGTGACACTGAGGGATGGCTTGTTTCTTCCGGGTGGGAGGATGGTGGTCAGAGCCAGGAGTATGGAGATCTGAGACCGTGAGCAGGGAAGAAAGCCAGTGCTAACATGCAACCATTCCTCACGCCACCGCCACATCAGAGCTGGTTGGGAACCCTTTGCTGCTGGGGAGGCTGGAAGCATATTCCCCAAGAGCACTGCCCTGGGCATCATCTCCCTCCTGCGAGGAGCTGAGCCAGTCCCCTCACAGATGGATAAATGAGGCTGATGTTTGGAGGGAGAGGCACACGGTAAATGGCATCCCCTTAGGCGCCTCTTTGGGAAAGGAAAGTGGATGCTCCTTTGAGGCAGGCGAGGGGCTGGGAGTGGGTAGCCGTCATGTTGTCCCCCGTGGGATCCCATTTTTAACTTGACCCAGATTGTCTTGGGCTCCTTTTACTTTCAGGGGGCTGCTTTCCTGGGCCAGGCTGTGTAGCACTTCCCACCCTCAGGCATGAGTACAGACTGGTCAAAATGTTTATGCAGTCAAGGCCAAAGCCTGCCCTGAGCCCAGACACACCTGGGTCCCCATTCTGGGGCCTGGTCCCCTAAACAATCTCTTCCTCAGCCAGCACAGGGAAATCCAGACTCAGGGTTCCAGAAATCCCCCGTTCCCAAACCAAACCAATCATGGATCTTCCCTTTAAGGGGTAGAATCAGCCTTTAGAGTTACAAGCCCCTGGAAAAGGGAGCAGGTCCCATACAATCAGCCTTTCTCCTCTTCTCTTCTTGGGACAGGAATAACTGCTGAGCAGTCCCCCTTTGCCACTCCTGGCTGTCTGAGTGGGCACTTGTCTGGCTGCTGGCCAGCAGTGAAGGGCCACTTGGTGACTTCGTAGGGTTCCTTAGAGAAGTGACATGGCCTTGAGGAGATTCAGGGCACCTTTCCTCAGTGAGCTTTGATATGGTCCAAAAACAGCCTTAAATCAAGAATATTTGTGGAGGTAGGTGTGGGGAAGGTTGGAGAAGAGTTAGGTTTGTGCTTTGTAATCTTGGCATCCATGTTTTGTGCCTGCCCTCCCTCTTGGGGAGGCCATGCTTGACTCTGCTGAAAGCTGCTAACTGGTGACAGGGTGGATCATGGTGAGGACTAGGGGTAAGGTCAGGGAATGCTTAAGCTCTGGCCCTGCCCTGTATTCCTCTTCCCCTTGGTAGCAGTTCCCTGACCAAGGGCAAGGTGTGTCTCAGGAAGGTGGTTCTGTGCATGCCTGGGTGTGGTTAAGGCGTGGCCCAGAAGGCTTCCCTGGTGCTCTCAGTCCAGGCAAAGCCCAGAGCATCTGAGCACGTCTCTGACTTCCAGTGGCAACACAGTTTGAACGTGGTGAAACAGGGTGTAGTTCTTTTCCACATTCTGTGTCATCTAGTCGTGCAGGTAGGGAAAAAGTTGGTCTAATTGAAGATTGTGCATTTCCTAGTGACAGGTGCCAAGAGGTTATGATACGGGTTTCTTGGGTCTGATGTACAGTGTGAATAAATGCTTGCAGCTCTTAGCTCTTTTTTGATCGATGAAGCACTTTTTTATTAATATTTTCCTTTGTTAAAGGAGGAACCGTAACTCTCCATAGCTGTACATATAACCCTTTTCTCCTAAAGAGGAGTCAGTCAGTGCTCCTATATTTTTCATTTTTTGTCAAAGCAAGAAGTAAATACTTTAGAATTGTTAAATATATAAATAAAGCAAATAAAGTTGAGTGTTCCACATGGTAGCATTTGCTAACACTTCCTAATTCTTTGCCCTGTGGTTTATCCCCTCTTCGTCCCTTTTCCCTCTCACACAGAAGTGTTTGAGGGCCTGCTGGGAAACTGACCTTTGGCAAAGGAAAGCTACAGATAGCCTTCCGACTCTAGACCTTGGCAAGGAGCCTCACCATGATGTTCAAGCACTGAACGCATTTCCTCAGTGATTTTGCTCCTAAAATCTCCCAGGCTAAAAGAGGGCAAAGCAGTCAGGGATCTGACCTGGCAGCTATTCCTCCTTCTCTGAAGAGTTCCCATCAGTAGTCATTACAACTACCTCTCGCCTCAAGGCTCCATTTTTAGCTGCTGCTCTGATTTCAGGGCAGCCAGTACTCTGGCCCCTTCAGTCGGGGAGTGGAAGGAGATGTGGGGTGGGGGTGAGAAAATGCTTCTGCCTGTTGTTCTTGAAGGATAGACTATGGGTGGGCAGAGAGAACTGGGGGCAGAAATGGAATTAGATGTGATTGGGTTATGCAGTCAACTAGAGGTCTCCTTCCCGCCCTCTCTCCACACAGAGAGGAACCTCTGCTCCTTAGCTCTTACAGCAGGACTGTGGCATCTAGTCACTTCAATACTAGTTCTTGCTCTTCACAGAGGTAGATTTTTCTTTACCCTACAGCACTGTTGGGCATCCCTCCCATCACATGGGTCTGTGGGTGAGATATGTTATGCTGTTCCTCCCTCGGGAAGGTTGGTATTGAGGGGTGCCTTGCTCCAGAGGCGCCAGCCCAGCATCTGTGGTGAGTTGGCTAAGATCCAGAGTGACCTGCTCAGAGCTCCCCAGAGGCCTTCACTCTTTGGGGCAGTCTCTCTAGGGTCACTTTCTGAATGTACCTTCTACCTAAAGTATACAAACACAAAGAGCCAGCTGAGCTGGTTCTAGTGTGAAAGCCGTAAGTGCCACCCAGCAGGCGTTTGAAAACAAGAAATCATTCTTCTGTGGAAGGAGAATGTGCCATCTCAGCTACCCTCAGTCCGCCAGGCAGCCCAGTCTGTGTATTCATATGAAGTTGTGAAAACCATGAGTGTGTGCCATGGCCATCGTGTCTACACACAGCCACTATTGTTCCTGTGGGCTAGTCTCCAGCAAATTAAAACACTGGCATGGCCTAGGAAGGGCGTTGCGAGCTCCTAAATGGAAAGCTTCTCTGGGGGTAGGGAGATGAAGAGCCAAGATGCTGGTGAAGCAGGTGCAGTGAGGATCCAAGGCAAGGAATTGCCCTGAGGGAGGTGGCTGCATATGGAGAAAGGCAGTTCTCTGTGGGCAAGGCCAGCTTGCTTCAGGCTGTAGAGGGAATTTGGTCTGAAGCAACAGGGCATGAACTGTGACTTTGAGCTGCCAGGTTGTCTTCATCTCAGAACTTTCCTATCCTGGCACTCTCGTTACCTTTCTTCTATACCTTGGCCTCTGTAACTGCAGTCCAAAACAAGTTACAGCTGCCTTAATCCACTGAGATTCTCTATGAGGATGTACAGAAAAGTTTTCCTGTAATAATTTTGCTTATATGCTAACTCTTTTCATGTTAGCAAAGAATATTCTATGAATTAGAATGTTACTGTGGTAGATCTAAAGGAGAATGAACAGAAGGTGCTGGAGGACCTGTTAAACAATCTCTGGCTATTAAAAAACATCAAGATGAGAATTAAAGGCATATCCTGATATACTTGCCTGCTTGCACATGAGGCTGGGAGATCCCATGCCTGTTGAAGTTAACTCTAGCCCTGACCTCTATTGATCTTTTGGGAATGAGGGCTGATTTGAAGGTGCTGTTGCAGGATTTCATTTAGCTGCTGCCAGTTCAAGTGACCTGTCCCCAGGGCTGCAGCTGTATCCACCTGATTGCAGTAGGTGAGGGCTAACAGCAGAATTTAAAGTGGACCCTGGGCTGTGGAGCAAAGTGACTATCCATTTGGACTTTTGGATAATGTGGCAGGAGTCCCAGCTGTTTAATTTCTAGTCACATTTTCCAGAAAGTTGTTCTAAGTTGAGATTACTGACAAGATTTCTCAAGGGCAGGACCAGATATGTGAGAGACTTCTAGTTCAGAGCTGACCCCTCTAAGCCTCTGACACTTAAACACGAGTCCTGCTGTCCCCAGCACACAACTGCACTGAAGCCTTGTTCCTCTCGGCTGGTGTAGAGCTCATCTGCATGTTGTGTGCAGATACCAGTAGCCTCCCTGCTTGAACAGGCCTCTCCTAGGCTAGGCAGGTGTTCAGAGGCATGAAGGTCTGGGCAGGGGAAGGGCGTCTTCTGAAATGGGAGTTACCAGGTTTTTAAATGCTGCTATTGTTTTATTTACCATTTAAGGTCTTTTCTATTATATCTGAGTAACTAGTCAGTTTTTCTTACAGTGCTCATAGCAGTTGTATTTGAATTGTATTTTCAGTGAAATTTGTTTTACATTGCCATTTAAAATTGGCCTTTAACAGCTTCCCAACTAGCTTATAAGATTTTTTTTTTTAATGAAAACATAACCCATGAGGCTCAGATGCTGTTGAAGAAATAAATGGTATGTTGCTGCTGACAGTAGTGCTTGCCTATTGTAACAGCATTGGTTCTGCTGTAGCCTCGGTGACCATTTAAGTTGAATAAATCTGTCATTTTCACCCACAAACAGTTGTTGAGCCCCTGGATTTGGGTTGTCACTGTGGTTCTCCTGCCAGTGCTATAATCCAGTGTCGTAGGTGCAGGGTATGAATCAGCTCAGCCTCTTAGGAGAGAGGGGCTCTCAGCGAGGAGGGGGCGGGGGGGGGGTCACTATTTATCTTCCAGAGGCAGGGTTCATGGATTCCTGATGTTTAGAGGCGGAAGGGACCTTAGGTCACCTACTTCCACGGTTTTCATACTGTTCTCTGGGGCCTCGTGGAGAGGGAGCCTCCAGGCCCATTCAAAGCTTTATTAGATTTAAAAGTAAGATCTGGTATGAAGAAAGGTTTTGTTTGTTTCTTAAAATAAAAAGTCTGAAAATCACTAATCCAATCTCCTCCTTTTTCATTGAGGAAACTGAGACTCAGAGAGGGCCAAAGACATCCAGATTACCAATGAGTTAACAGCAAAATTTGAATAAAAGTCATTCTTGGCCAGGCACAGTGGTTCATGCCTGTAATCCCAGCACTTTGGGAGGCCGAGGTGGGAGGATCACTTGAGCCCAAGAGTTCAAGACCAGCCTGGGCAATATGTTGAGACCCATCTCTACGAAAAATATAAATAAACCTGTCTCTACAAAAAATATGAATAAACTAGTCAGGAATGGTGGTGCACACCTGTAGTCCCAGCTACTTGGGAGCCTAAGGTGGGAGGATCTCTTGAGCCTAGGAGTTTCAGGCTGTGGTGAGCCATGATCACGCCACTGCACTCCAGCCTGGGCAACAGAGGGAGACCCTGTCCCATAAAAAAAGGAAAATACTTTCCCGACTCCTAACCCTCTTCTTGTGCTCTTGGGCCTCCAGAAAGCCTGATGTAAATAGCTGTATTGGTTCTCGTTGAAATCTCAGCGAGGAGCTTAGGCAATTGCCATCACAAGGCTTGAATTATGAGCCCTTCTCTCCCTCTTAACCAAAATCAAAATGTTGTGATAGTCTAATCCAGTGTTTTTGTTTTTAACTTTTCAAATACATAAAAACAAATGATATGTTATTAGCATGAATCATCACAGTTTAAGTCATAACATCTTAAAATCAGTGGGCTTGGGGAGGGAGCATTTTTCATTAGTGCAGATGATAGGTTCACTGTGAACTGTCCCAGCATCCAATTTCTGGATTTTGTTTTAGTTGTTATATAATATGGGGGAGTTTAATTTTAAAAAATTTGAGTTTTATAGGTAAGCGGTTGCAAATGGTAGTAGTCACAGCTTGCCTGCAATCTCTTGTTGACAAAACTGAAGTACATGCCTGAAAAAAGGGATTAATAGAAGAATATCCAAAACCTGCTTTCAGTCTTTATCATCCATATATCAGATGAGAGACACCCAAAGATTTATAAGCACTAAAATTACTTTATGCTCAGGGCCACCAGGTCTGAGTTGGCCCTGGGCCTAATGATCACAGCACTAAGCTGGTGCCCTCCCAGTCAGTGACCCCTGCAAAGGCCACACACACACACACAGCAATACAGACTGTACAGTGAAGTCTCAAGCAGCCTCACTGAATGTGTTTTAAACCTTTGGGTGTATATAGTTTAAAAGACGGTTATTAATATTTATCAGGACATTATTTATTAATATCAGGACAAATTCTCCTGAGGCAGTGCCACAAAAGTTGGTTTGAAAATCACCAGTTTGGTGGAAAGCCCCTGTGTTTTAGAGCCCACAGACCTGGGGTGGGATCCTAGCCCTGCAGCACCAGCTGAGTTGCTCATGGGTGTATGAGGAACTCGGAGACATTTCCTCATCTGTAGCAGAGCACATGGCATATAAATGGAGTGGGAAGGTGGGGGCCTAGCAAATGCTGTCCTCCCCACTGTCCCATGAAATGAGATAGATAGATGATAGCATTTCTGTCTCTGGCTTCTAGCAGGCATTTGGAACAATCAATCAGAGCCAGGCAGCACTTCTATTCCACTGTGTGTTGAAACTAGACCCTGCTCTCGCTTCCACCTTACAGGGGAAAACATTTGACTTTGAAGCATTCCAATCTGAGTTTTGCACTAAGTTACAAATGAATCACTAGCTGAAGAAGACAAACTAAAGTTCATATATGTGTTTTAGTTTTATTTATTTTGAGACAGAGTCTCACTTTGTTACCCAGGCTGGAGTGCAGTGGCGCGATCTCGACTCGCTGCAACCTCCGCTTCCCAGATTCAAGTGATTCTCCCGCCTCAGCCTCTTGAGTAGCTGGAATTACAGGCACCCACCATCATGCCCAGCTAATTTTTGTATTTTTGTAGAGATAGGGTTTCACCATGTTGGCCAGGCTGGTTGAACTCCTGACGTCAGGTGAAATGCCCGCCTCAGCCTCCCAAAGTGCTAGGATTACAGGCGTGAGCCACCGTGCCTGGCCTTATATATGTGTTTTGTTTTTAAATTAACATTTTGTAAACAGATGGTGGTCTGCATGTGCACCGATGCTTTAAGAGTGTATGGAGCCAATGGGAAGGGAGTGTGGAGAGAAACTGCTTGTTGGGGTTGAGGCAGCATCTAAGAACGCCTGAGTCCTGCCATGGCAACAATCCTGCAAAGACAGACAGGACCTCACTTTGTTAAACTGATGAGTTTAAGTTGTTC
Organism: Homo sapiens; assembly: GCF_000001405.40. Classification (NCBI taxonomy): domain Eukaryota; kingdom Metazoa; phylum Chordata; class Mammalia; order Primates; family Hominidae; genus Homo; species Homo sapiens. The sequence continues at coordinate 30,033,116 of NC_000022.11, forward strand.
AAGACTAAAGACGAAGCCAGAAGATGCAGACTAGCTTCGCAGGCTGAGAAGTGGGGAAGGTGGAGCCAGGTGGACCTCGCCTCTGCATCACAGAGGCCTGGGTCCAGGCTATGGTGCTCTTAGCATCTCTTTAAGAATAAATCCCAGAGCCCAAGGTTGGAAGAGGAAGTGGAGGCCTTGCGTTCAGATGGCCCTCCCCACCCTCTCCAATGACAGAGGAGCCCAAGGTTGCCCAACATATTTAAGGCCATGTCATCCGAGTTCAAATAGACATGAGTTTGTAGTAAGTGGTTGCTGCACTTTGCCAGCTGGAAGATCAAGCCTTAGAACTGGAGGTTCTTTCAAGTCCCCCAGAAAGTGCTGGCATACAATGTGTACCAGGGCAGCTCCCTCTTTAGAAGTCCCTGTCAGCCCTTGGGACATAAACTGCATCCCCTGGCCCCTTGGGGGTGGTCTGATTCTTTCTGTTCTCTTTCATCTGATTCAGTAATAAGCTAGCTAGCTAGCTGCTGCCTTATTACCGCCTAACTAGAGACTCCTAGTTTTGGAAAGACAGTAAGATGTCAGCTTGCCAGCCTCTATTACTGGGATGAGGAGACGGAAATGGAAACCATGAGAATGGTGTGCCTCTCGACAGTTGCCACTGACCCCTGGAGAGGAGTCCTAGTTGGGTTGGGAGGAAGGGGGTTGGGCTTGAACTCTCCCTGCCCCCTTACTTTTGGAGCAGCAGCATCCCCCCGAGGAGCTGAGAGGTCACTCCCTGGGTCAAGCAGCCTGAGCTAGTCCCTCTCCACGGACAGGATGATTCACAGCCCAGAAAAGGGAGCAGCCACCTCTGGAAACCGTGTACATCCTAAGAGCCCCTCCTGCAGCACCTTTCTTAGGTTGATTCAGGGAGGGAAGCTGTGGGAGGAGTCGGGGAAAGGCCTGGGAGCAGTGCTTCCTCTCTCCCTGCTGCACCAACATCTTGGAAGCTTGGTGGAGGTGGGGACACAACTCTTACCAGTAGTGCTGCTCTTCCTCCTCTCCCACACCCCCACTTTCTCTTCCCCTTTCCAAATACCCAAAGGTTTTAATGTGATCTCCTGGCATTGGAGACCCTGGGCACCACTGCACATTCAGGCCAGTGAGCAGGTCAGGCCCATGTAGCCACCGGAGGTGGCAATGCCCGAGAGGCCATCCTGCAGGCACTAGCTGGAGATGCCAGTGCTGAGTGACTCCAAGGAGATTGTTTTCCTTCTGAAAAAGCAGCACATGGCTGGGCGCAGTGGCTCATGCCTGTAATCCCAGCACTTTGGGAGGCCGAGGCGGGTGGGTTGCCTCAGCTCAGGAGTTCGAAACCAGCCTGGGCAACACGGTGAAACTCCATCTCTACTAAAATACAAAAGCTGTAGCTAGGCATGGCAGCTGCTCAGGAGGCTGAGGCAGGAGAATTGCTTGAACCTGGGAGGCGGAGGTTGCAGTGAGCTGAGATTGTGCCACTACACTCCAGCCTGGGCGACAGAGCGAGACTCCATCTCAAAAAAAAAAAAAAAAAAGACACCATTCCTTTTGCTGAAGTGGGCACAGGCCAGGCCCCTAGGAACTGAGCGCTTGCAGTGCTGCAGGAAGTGCTCTCCTGGCACTCCCTTGTCCTGCCAAGAAGTGGGGACTGCAGGGGACTTTGAGCAACCCAGTACATGAACCTCTTCATTTACAGAAGCATTTTGGAGGCTTTTTTCACTACACAAAAGGTTCTACTATAGAATTTTCCAATTGTATTTTGCATTTTAAAATATACTGTTCATTAACATAAAAATATACACAATGCCGGGCACAGTGGCTCACGCCTGTAATCCCAGCACTTTGGGAGGCCAAGGGAGGCGGATCACTTGAGGTCAGGAATTTAAGACCAGCCTGGCCAACATGGCGAAACCCTATCTTTACAAAAACTTAGCCGGGCCTGGTGGCACGCGCCTATAGTTCCAGCTACTCGGGAGGCTGAGGCAGGAGAATCTTTTGAACCTGGGAGGCAGAGGTTGCAGTGAGCCAAGGTCGCGTTACTGCACTCCAGCCTGGTTGACGGAGCAAGACACCGTCTCCAGAAAAAAAAAAAGTGTACACAATTACAAGTGAAATTCCCACTTGCTAGAGGTAACTGACTCACCACCTTTAGTGAGTTGTCTTGGTTTTGTTTTTTAAAAATACTCTGCAACAAAGCTTTACTTGTTTTTGTTGTCTGTTACAGAGTAAACCGTGGTGTAGATTCTTCTGCCAGAAATTCTCACACTTTTGGAGTTAGAGAACAGAAATGGTTCAGTAAGTGACAAAATGACAGCCAGAATAGATGGTCTAGGGCTTTGTCCCACATCCACCATGGCCTTAGCCTTTTTCTTTCAACCTTGTTTGGCTGGCTCCTTCCTCTATCCCTAAAGCTGTCCAGTCCTCCAGCCTGCAAAGCAAATTCTTTCAAGTCAGAGCAAATTCTTTCAAGTCTCTGCCTCCAGCAAGTATCCTGTCTTGCTCCTTCCCTTCACTGTGAAACGAATAGAAAGAGTGGCCAGCTCTATATCGTCTTTGCTCCACCACCCCTTCCTCTTCCTCCTGCTTCTGCTGCCCCCCACCACCCCAACACTGGGTGTCCCCAAGGACTAGCCACACACTCTAGACCCACTCCAAAGCATTCTTTCTTGCAACCATTCTGCAACCTGCCACCTTGCTAACCCTCCTGCCAGTTCTTCTGCCTCTGTAGTTGGCCTGTGAGACTTTGCAGGCAGCCCTCTCACCTACTTCCTTGGCATTACTGCTCTGAGGCTCAGCTCTCTGCCCTCCTTCCACGCATGCTTCCTTGGACATGCAGAAATTAAAGTGCTGAAAATGGAGGCCTGTTATATACCACAGTTCTAAGTCTCTAGAGGCCTCCTTCAGGCACCTGGGGAGACTGCGAGAGCATCAGGTGTCCCCATCTGGACGTGTCTATGTGGCCATGCTTCACCTGCACCCCCACGCAGTTCGATGGCATTAACCTGGGGACTAGTTCTGGGCCTGAAAACTGAGCTCAGCCTTGTCAGCCAGAGATGCCTCGGGGCTTCCCCTGAACTGAGAGGCCACGACGTCTGCTCTTCGCTTTTATCCTCTGTTGCAGGATGCAGTCAGCACCTAGTGCAGGGGTGAACGCCGATGCCAAGTTTGCCCTCCTATCCTTCAACCCCAAGTAGGAAGTTCACCTCTTATTTTCATATTGTAATTGAATTCCGACACCCCACCAACCCTTCCTGGGACTGGGGGAAGCCCCATCGTCAGTCTATTTATGACACTCCGTCGTAGGAAGCTTTGACCCTGGTTGGACAGGAATGAGCTAGAGCACCCAAAGCCACTGGGCATGGTTTCTGTGTGCTGCCCTAGGCAAGGGCAGAGGGGCTCTGCCTCTCCTTACCTGGGCCTACCAGAACACCCTTGCCAGTCACATGTCTTCCGGGTCACCCTGCTGCCCTCCAAGGCACCTCATGCCCTCAGAGGGCCCTGCTGATGCCTGAAAAGCCCAGATCAAGCTGAGAACAAGGGCCTGGCTGTCTGTTCAGGAACCCTCTGCCCTGTTCTGCCTCGGTACTCTGTCACCCCTCATTGCTGAGGACCCTAACCAATGCATGCACAGAGAGTCTTGGCTTCTGACAGCTCTGGATATGCTCTGTGGCGCCTTCATGTAGTAAGTCATTGAAGGCTAAGTCTCTGTGCAGGCTTCACTGGTGACTCACACATGTCCCCACCCCTACCATTCCATGAGATGACATGGGACTTCTGTCTCAGGCACTGTTTGCTCTCAAGAATATGCTGCCTGTTAGGGAAGATGATCAGGCAGATAAATATATTCATACCCTCATCCAAAAAGAACAGGACCTGAAAAAGCCTCTTAGAGGCAACCCATTGAAAATGGAGACCAGTGTTTCATACAGCACATAGTGAAAAAGGTTTGATCCGAATTTAATCTTGTAAAATGAAACTATTATTGAAATAAGTATCTTTTTTGAATCGACAAAATTATATATAATATACAGTATGTTTTGAAATATGTATACATTGTGTAATGGTTTAAATCGATCTAATTAACATATGCGTTACCTCACATACTTATTTTTTTGTGATGAGAGACACTTAAAATCTACCCTCTTAGAGATTTTCAAGAATACAATGCATTGTTATTAACTAAGTCACCTTGTGGTGCAATAGAGCTCTTTAACCTAATCCTATTTAACTGAAATTTATCCTTTAACCAGTATCTCCCACTGTTTTGTTTAAAAGTATGTTTTAACAAAAGGTAATTGCAACTATAGGCTAATTCTTTGTTGTTGTTGTCGTTATTGAGAGAGGGTCAGTCTCGCTCTGTTGCCCAGGCTGGAGTGCAGTGGCACGATCTTGGCTCACTACAACCTCCGCCTCCTGGGTTCAAGAGATTCTCGTGCCTCAGCTTCCTGAGTAGCAGGGATTATAGGCATGCACCAGTACACCCAGCTAATTTTTGTAGTTTTAGTAGAGGTGGGGTTTTGCCATGTTGGCTTGGCTGGTCTCAAACTTCTGACCTTAAGTGATCCACCTGCCTTGACCTCCCAAAGTGCTGGGATTACAGGCGTGAGCCACCACTCCCGACCAGGCTAATTCTTAAAAATAATATTTTAGGTGTATTTCCCTCCCCAAATTATATGATTGCACAATAGGACATTATTTCATGTTTGATTTTCTAGTGTAATCAATCACAGGATCATTTTAGGAAAAGTTAGTCAAGGGCTTCCTCAATTTCCCTCTTAAATCCTTTAGTCTTTGATATTCACATCATCCCCCTAGGAAACACCTAATTGGTTAGACATGTCACCTTCCCCTTCATTTGTTAATGGACCTACTCTCTGCGATCCTTATTTCCAATGGCTACACTCATCTGAGCAGTTTGCCAACACATTCACCAACTATGTGAAATTCTGCATATTTTACAAAACTTAAATTGTACTTTGGTGCCTGTTTTGTTGTATTTTCAACATCTCACAATCCGTAACAGGGAAGTTGGGCTATGGTGGATGGAGAGTATGTTAAGGAGGAAGAGATGTTTAAGTGGAGAGTGATTTTTCTAAGTGGTTGAGTTGTGTAGAGAATACTCTTCATGTCTGATGACTTTAGCTTTCTCCACAACTAGTGGCTACAGGAACTTGGATACTGACTAGTTGGAGTTATAGCTCAGAGGAAGAAGAGAGTACATGTACATCTGAGCAGGGAGCCTGCCCCTTGGGGGATAGCAGTGACATCAACACATGGCAATATGATGACGTCAAGGTGAGCCAAGGCAAGTGGGCGGGTTTCAGGATCTGAGCCAGAGGGCATGGGTTAGCGAACAGGAAAGGCAGGAAATATTTGTTAAAAGCTTAGGCCAAAAAAGTCTCCTATGTCAGGCCAAACACTGGTCCCAATTCTATAGGTATTTGAGGTTTCTGAACAGAGAATGGAACAAGATGATAATAGTTAATATTTGTTATGGGCTAGGCACTGTCCAAATACTTTCCATGAGTAACACATTTAATTCTCCTATTAACCTGGTGAGGTACTGTGACAGCCTCATTTGAAACTAAGATGACTGAGCCAGTAGAGCTGTTAAGCCCCTTGCCCAAGGTCACCCAGAAAGTTGAAGCAGCTGAGCCATGGTTTGAATCTGGCCCCTCTGCCTCCTGAAATCACGCTCTCAACCGCTGCGCTACCCAGTCTCTCCTGGGCCCAGGATGAATGGAAGTGGGTGCTGGGAGGCGAGGCAAGATGAGGTGGAAAGAGCAGTAAGAGGCCACCTGCATGAAAAAGGCCTAAACCAGGGCAGAGAAGGGTTCAAGAGCAACTCCAAAGAACACTGAATGTTAAAGTACTAGTGCTGTTTCATTGGCTTTACACAGGACTGTTTCTTTCCAAAACTCAGTAAGTCATGCATGAAGCAATCACCAATGCAAGAATCAATCAGGGGCCGGGCGCGGTGGCTCATGCCTGTAATCCCAGCACTTTGGGAGGCCGAGGCAGGCAGATCATGAGGTCAGGAGATCGAGACCATCCTGGCTGACATGGTGAAACCCCGTCTCTACTAAAATACAAAACATTAGCCGGGCGTGGTGGCGGGCGCCTGTAGTCCCAGCTACTCGGAAGGCTGAGGCAGGAGAAAGGTGTGAACCCGTGGGGCGGAGCTTGCTGTGAGCCGAGATCGAGCCACTGCACTCCAGCCTGGGCGACAGAGCAAGACTCTGTCTCAAAAAAAAAAAAAAAAAAAAAGGAATCAGCTGCTCACTAAAATTAACTGTTTCAGCCGGGCATGGTGGCTCATGCCTATAATCCCAGCATTTTGGGAGGCTGAGGTGGGTGGATCACCTGGGGTCAGGAGTTCAAGACCAGCCTGACCAACATGGTGAAACCCCATCCCTACTAAAAATACAAAAATTAGCCGGGCATGGTGGCAGGCACCTGTAGTCCCAGCTACTTGGGCGGCTGAGGCGGGAGAATTGCTTGAACCTGGGAAGCGGAGGTTGTAGTGAGCAGAGATTGCACCATTGCACTCCAACCTGGGCAACAAGAGTAAAACTCTGTCTCAAAAAAATAAAAAATAACATAAAATTCACCGTTTCTCAGGAAGAGCTCCCTCAACTAAACAGCTTCCCTTCTAATGCAGGGACAAATTGGCATTTAAGATAAATTTGCAGCAGACACCAGGGGGGCTAATGATCCTATGATTGATTACACTATAGAAAATCAAACATGAAATGATGAAGCTAGAGCTCAGTATCTGCCTAGGCAAGTGCCTGCTTGTGCACAGCAGACAAAGCCCTGACCCAGTGTTGTGAGACCTGTATTCTAGCCCCCAGTCACTTACAGGGTAGGGGGTTGACCACTCTACTCTGCTTTAATTTCTCACCTATGGGGATATTTGTCCAGTCTGCCCATGGGACTGTTGAGGATCCAGTGAGGAAATAGATCATGTTTTACAAAGTCTGGCTGATCTACAGTGGAAAGAATGGTTCTGCCAAAGCTTGCACTTGAACATCTGTGACTGATTCCCAGCACCTTACCTGCGTTCCAGTATAGTCTCCATGGGAGGCAGCAGGAATCCTGCTTGTCTGCCATGCAGCCTGGCAGCTCCAAGGCAACAGCATCCCTCCTCTTACCCATATCTGCCAAACCCAAGAGAATAGGGAAATATGTCAGGTCTCTCAGGGTGTGGGAAGGACTCTAGGCCATCTCCAGCCAGGACAGTCCCCAACAAGAAATACCGGGGTTGGGGTGATGCCAGGGACAGGTTTTCTGGCAAGGATAGGAAGCTCTGCCCTGGGCTGCTGAAGTCTCCGAGAGATGGGCTCCATGGGTGGCCTTGCTTCCAGCACAGGCGAGGTCTAGGCAAGTGGTCAGCAGTGCAGAGCCCCTTCCTTCAGGGCTTCAGCCGCCTTACCTCCATGTGGGCCAGTGTCTGGATGTGCAGCCAGTGATCCCTGAACTTCCCAAATACAAACCTCTTGATGGATGCCCATCCTAGGAAAGGAGCGGCACCAGAGGTTGACTCTCTGGTCAATTTCTAGTATTTCCTCTGAGCCCCAAGGGCAGCATTGTGCAATAAGCTGCCTTGTCTGGCCTCTCTTGCTGTGCCCATACCTACTAAACCCCCCGATTATGGCCTTGCGGGGAGTGTTCCCGTCCAGTCTCAGAGTAGGAGCACACGTGGAGGCCCTTTCCTCTGTGGTACCCTCAACCCTGCTCTGCACTTCAGTAGTCCTGCTTGACCCACAGATCCCTCCCACCTTCTGCGCCCCCCATGCCCAGGGCTGCTTCTGTTGCTTCCCTCACCTTCCCTTCCAGCCCAGACTCCCACTCCCCTGCAAGCCATCCAGAAGAAGTCTCACACTAAGTCGTGGAAAATGCACAAGCCAGAAACAGCACAACTGTCCAACCACAGGGCAAGGAATAAGGAACTTGTGAAAGTTAGCCACAAACATAACATGGCAACGAATCAAAGTCGTTACATACAGCCACATGGACAAATCTCACAGAATATTGAGTGGAAAAAAGAATAAAATATATGCAGTATGATTCCATTTTTGAGAAGTTCAAAACCAGGCAAAACAAAACTATTCTTTGGGGGTGCGAGAACATGGTAACTACAAAAGCCGAGGTCCCGGTGGTCTCTAGGAGGATGTAGAGAACAGGTTGGGGAGGATCTAGAGTGCTAGGGATCTCCAGGTCTTGATTGGAGTAGTGGGTTTATAATTCAGCAACCCCTACAGATATGTTTGCTGTGCTTTCCTACATATATGTTATTTCATGAAGAAAAAAAAAAAACCCTAGCACCCCATCCCCCCACTCTGCCTTGACCGGCTCAGGGCACAAGCCCCCTAGTGTGCACACCTCTTACCCTGTTGGCCTCAGTGGGGAGCATTGGATGGGGAGCTTCCAGGGCCTGAGGACAAAGGGATGGCCCACCACTCAGAGGTCCCACCTTTATTCCTTCCTCTGGGGTGTCTCCCTGTCCCAGGTTGTCACATCCCAGCCCCAGCCCCACTGTGTTCTCTGCGGAGTTTGGCTGTGTTGACCTGGAGCACCCAGTTTCCTGGCTTCCTTGGGTGGCCTTACCTGACCTAGGTCTGTTTCTTACAGAGGGATCTGCTCTAATGAGCCATTCCAGTGCCCCAGGTTTAATTTAATATCTGGTGGGATAGTCTTGGTCTTCGTCATTTGTTTCTGTCACATGGTCACCTGCTCACTTACAGTTAGGGGAAAGCTTACAGGGAGTCATGCCTGGGAATGTTTGATTCTATGTGAGAATATCAGTCACATAGCAAGGTGAACTCTTACTCCGTGTCAGATGGACATTGGCCATGGAAACCAGGATCCTTGTCCTTATGGAGAGGAGTGCTGAGAGAAGACAGGGAAGTGTGATGAGGGCTGCAGAGCAGGTTGGCAGCCTGTGGGAACCTGCACTGAGCAAGTCAGACAAGGGAAGGAATGTTTCACTGAAGGCCTGAGGGATGGAGAGGGAACAAGAGGGAAGACACTCAGCCACGTCTTCATTTCCTTTAGCCCTGACAACCATGCTTTATGATAGGTATTATTATTCCCATTTTACAGATGTGGAAACTGAGGCACAGAGGGGTTAAAGAGCCCAGCCCAAGCTCACTCAGCTAACTTGTGGCAGAATGAGGACTTAAAACTCCAGTCTAGATGATTCAGAAGCTGTAAGCAAGGAGGCTGCTACCACAGTCATGGTCAGGAATGACGGTGGTTTCACTGGTTATGGAACAAGTAGATGTGTGGGCTCAAGAGAGGTACTAATGATAGAATTGATGTTCTATGGACTTAGGGGGGGATCAGTCAGAGACAACTCGCAGCTTCGGCCTTGATCAACTAGGAGGACTGATTCACATTCACCAAGATGAAGAAACGGGAAGAGCAGATTTGGAGGGAAAAAGGTCATTCATCTAAATTTGATACATTCTACTTCAGTTAAAAAAAAAAAAAAGAAAGAAATGGGTTGATTGAAAACAAAACAAGATGATTCCATGCCTAGAACTCCCGCTCTGTGCCACCCCTCCTTCAATCTCAGCATTCTCACACCCTTCGCCCTGCTTCCTTCCAGCGTCCTCATGTATACGTGTACCTCTGATCCTTGGGCCCTCCAATATCCAGTGCCAAGCAGATTGCATTTCAGAGAACCACCTAGACGACACTGTCCTTGGCCACACCATTCACCACCTCACCCGTGCTTTCTCCTGACCTTCTCAGGGTGGAGTTCCCTTGGTCTTTCTAGTCCTGAGACCATTCTCTGTGTGCAGAGCTGGCTTCATAGGTGTGCAGCCTCTGCAGTTACACACGACCCCACACTCAGAAGGGCCCACCTTCCGTTTAATGCTCCTCTGTTGCAGTCTTGAAATTACTAACATTAAACAAAGGACCCCACACTTTCATTTTTCACTAGGTCCCTCCCACAAATTATATAGTCGGTCCTGTATGTATGTCTGCAACATAATGAGGCAAACCAACGTGCGGCAGCCTTTCCCATCCGTGGCAGTGAACCTCATTTCCATCTAGGAAGTCCAACTTCTTCAAATCACAGGGAGACAAAGCAAAAAAAGGAGCTCAATTTTTTTTGTTTCTATGAAATACAGTTTTATGTGTAGTTTTATGTTTCTTCCTGATAATAATTTAGGAGGGAACCCTGAGGAACAGGATACAGAAATAACAAATTATGGGCCATTAACTGTGGCTAATTATTTCTTTATAGCTTAGAGTGGAGGCACATCTGAGTTGCTTTGGCACTCACAGTTACAGGAAGGGAGGGAGGGCAGCTTAAATACAATATAGAACCCGTGGGGAGACGAAGGGAGGAGCAATTTATTGCAGGTTCGGCATCCCCAATCCAGAATCTGAAACGTTTTGAGAACTGACATGCTCAAAGGAAATGTTCACTGGAGCATTTTGGATTTCAGATTTTCAGATTAGGGATGCTGAACTATTAAGGATAATGCAAATATTCCAAAATCCGAAAAAATAAAAAATCCAAAACACTTCTGGTCCCAGCATTTTGGATAAGGGACATTCAACCTGTAATCTCAGCCTAGCTTCTGAAGCATAAAAGCATAGCAGCAGACAAACATGCAAATAAACTTATGTCCAACCCAAAAGTCTAATATCTGGTTTGACTTTGTGGAAGAAAAGGATTTCCTGTTTCACAGAATCCTTTTGTTCCTTGCCCTTTTTACCCAGAGAGAGAGAGAGCTGCTTAGCATAAGTCATGGAAGGATGGCTGGGGACTATCAGAACCCTCAAGAGAAAGGTTTGTTGGTCTGGTTTATGCTGTATTTAGGAGAAGGCCCAGGACTGTTACTACAGTCAAGACTGGAACGAGGACTCAGGGCAGGGGTGGGGTGGGTAGTGGATGGAGAAAGAGGAGAGTAACCAGGAAGAGAAATGGGTACCCAGGTATCCTCTGAGGGTGACTCGAAAGAGAGATCAAAAAGCAACTGACTGTGAAAGTCAGGAATCACTTTTGCCATCACCGGAATCCATGAATGTTGAAGATCGACTGAGCAGGCTGTTTTCTTTCTGGTGATGGACAGTTCCTTCTAGATGCAGCAGAGGTACAATTCCATACTGTAATATGTTGGATAATGAGCCTTCAACTGGGTCTAAAATTAGGACTTTGACACACAAGAAAAATGTCTTCAGGCTTCAGGTTTTTGTTATCTGGTTTCTTTTGGATACTTTTAGCTCTTCGTCTATCCTCCAGAAAAGACCAAGCTGACCCACTCATTGTCAGCACAAAGAATGCTGTAAGGGTCACTGAAGACAAATCGTGCTGGTTTGGGAATAAGAAAAAAGAAGACAAACTCCTCTTGCCACAACTATGTGCTAGCCTAGAAGTGCACTTTAGTCATTTATTACCTCATTTGAATTGATCTATCATATGATCAACATGACTCACCGGTGCCTAGAGACTCTCTAACTTGTTTTTCCTGGCCCTGTGCCCTACTCAATACCCCACACCCCAGATTTACTCCTTATTACAGCTGGCTTGTGGGAAATGGGACTGGCCTGGGGTTCTCAAGAGTGGGCTGAGCTACCTCTCCAGTAGTGCTCTCGAAAGTGGCTATTGTTTCTGAACTGAGAGCTCTGCAATGAGCAGACACTGCATGGACTGTTCTTCTGAAGATTTAATTCCACATATATAGACATTGCCCAAGAAGGCTCTTCCTTTAGCATGGTTTGTATGCTCATGTTCCAGTCTTCTTATTTCCTACCTGGAGAACTCTTGCTCTTCATTGATCCATTAATTCTTGGTGTGCCAATTTGTGTTTCAGCTGTGCCAAAATGAAGGATCGGGATTATCTTCTAAACAAAAAGAATGACCTCCTTCTCCTGCGTCTAGGCCCTAAGGCATTTCCCTGCTCACTAATGGGATTAAGAATATTTTCATATGTTTATTGGCCATTGTGAATTTTTCTTTTTTCTTTTTTTTCTCTTCTTACAAACAGATGTTTTATTGCATTTGGTCCACAGTCGTATTTCACATTATCTCATGGAGCAGGGCCCCTGGGTGTGGGTCCCTGTGCAGTACTTGGTGGGGCATGTGGCCAGGGGAGATGGAGCAGTATAGCTGGTCAGGCCAAGAAAGGGAGAAGGAGGGCTGGGGGCTCTTTAAAACCTACTGAGAGGTCAGGCGCAGTGGCTCATGCCTGTATTCCCAGCACTTGGGGAGGCTGCAGCAGGCAGATCACCTGAGGCCAGGAGTTTGAGACCAGCCTGGCCAACATGGTGAAACCCTGTCTCTACTAAAAATACAAAATTTAGCCAGGTGTGGTGGAGCACCTGCAGTCCCAGCTACTTGGGAGGCTGAGGCAGGAGAATCCCTTGAGCCCAGGAGGTGGAGGTGCTGTGAGCACGCCACTGCACTCCAGGCTGGGCAACAACAACAACAAAACCTACTGAGGTCACAGTGTGGGGAGTTAGCATAGAGAGGGGGTCAGGCTTAGCCCTAACAACTCAGAATTCCACTTCCTTGTACAGGCCTCACTTTCCCCACCGAGCCCTGGGGCAGGTCTGAGGGTCTGAGGTCTGTTGGTCTGAGGGTCCTAGGGAAATCCAGCCACTTGGGAGCCTGAGATATTTAGTATCGTGGCCAGGCCCCCTTTCCCAAGGGACTTATTTCCCAGCACCCTCTCCACTGTCCCTGCCCCATTCCTCGGAAAAAAAAAAAATGTATTTTTCTTTTGTTAATACTTCCTGAAGCTTTAGCAGGTACAGAAACCACAAACTGATCAGCTGACAAAAGGGAGAAAAGGAGAGGCAACTGGAAACCTTCGGGGACCAGTTCCCTCCAAGCCCAGGTCTCTTCTCCCCAGCACAGCTTGGCCCACAGCCTGGACATGCCAACAGGGACCCTCACCCTACACTTAGCGGGATATGGCCTTGACTCCTTCCCCCACAGCCTGGTGGCTCAGTCCTGCGAAGGACCAAGGCAAAGGGGAAAGAAGCCCTGCTGCCTGATCCCATGCTGCCACTCACAGACCCTCGGTTGATTGGCAGCACTGAACAGGTTAAGAGGAAAAAGACATGAAAACACAGAAAAACCCAAAAACCCAGACGGGGAGATGATGTGGGGAGAGAGCATGCTGGCAGACTTCATAGTCAGCTTCCTCCTGGTAGTAAGGGGGATATTCAGGGACCTCCCCGGGGCCCAGGCAGTCGCCGGCGCCTGAGGGAGCCCCCACTGTGCCTTGCGGGCAGTACTTGGGGTCGTATATCTGCTGGCCCAGGCCAAGACCTGGCTACTCTGGTTGGTGTCCTATGTCTAACCCATCTGCAGGGATATGGAGGAGTTACCACACTTGTCGGTTCCCAGCTTGGTGTCAGAGATGTGCCGCTGCGTCCCAGGAGCCGTCATGGCCACCTGGCTGACACACTTGTTTATACGCATCTGGACACTGATGATGGAGTGGTCCATGGGGGGCAGGATGTAGTTGTTGGGGTCGTAGAAATGCCTCCTCATGCCGTATGCGGTCATCCCTGACTGGCTGGCGCATTTGTTGGTGCCCATCTGCAGCCCGAGGATGCACTGGCCAGCCTTCAAGGGGGGTTGTCACAGTTCCACTCCTGCTTCTCCAAGTACTTGATGCCAGTGTCCACCCTGCTCTGCAGCTCCTTAGTCTTGGCCTTCCTCACCAGGGCGAGAAGAGACACCTGCAGCTGTGTCATACTTCTACTCTCAAACAGGTCGTTGGCCTCGAACAGGTCCATGGGGTTCATCCGTAGCTGACCATGGCCTTGATGAAGTTGGAGAGGTTTTCTAGCTGGTGCCAGTTCTGCATGGAGTGATTGATCTTGGGGACTGAGCCTGGCTGTAGCTTGTTCATGAGTGCGCATAAGATAATCCCGTCCTTCAGGCCCTTCTGGAAGTCGGGACCGATGAAGAGTCCTGTGAGTCCCTTGATCCAGCTGTGGAGCTCTGCCTCCTTCTGGGGGTCATATTTGGACAGAAGCTGGTTCTTGACCTCAGCCCACAGCCCATATGAGGGGCCCTTGTTGAACTGCGTGGAGCTCATGGCTGGCAGACACGGCGGCGGGATGGGACCGGACAGGACGGGACAGTACCCGTGAATTTTTCATTCTTATCTGCCCACTTTTATTGGGTTGCTTTTTCTTACTGGTTTATAAAAGCCATTATATATTGGAGCTTTGAACTTTTTATTAAATGTAATATAATCCCAGGCTGTCACTTGTTTAAACTGAATTTTTTAGTGGCATCTTTGTCAGTTACTAAGCTACTGTCTCTCGGCTTCCAACCTGCCCTTCTATATTCAGGTCTGGGATGCTGGAACTGAAACTGAAACTATAGTCCTCCTTAGCCAGCTGGCCTTCTGATAGGTCCCGCCAACAAGGGGAGCTAGAGAGAGACTCGAAGCCAGGAGGAGGGTAGAAGGAGTTGCTCCTTCCTGTTTTGCTTGATGCTTCAGTCAGTGTTGTTCCAGCATTGGCTTCTTACCATGAAGGTAGCACTTGGTTCCAGTTTCCAGCCTCTTGCAGCAGTCCCAGAATGATCCTCATTCCAACCCTTGGTGGTAACAGCCAGGTTATATCTGTGGTAGGCAGAATAATGGCTCTCCAAAGACATCCATGTTCTCATTCCCGGAACCTGTTGAATATGTTATCTTAAATTGCAAAAGGGACCTTGCAGATGGGATTAAGATGAGGACTTTGAGATGGGAGATTATCCTAGGTAGTCTGGGTAGGACCAATGTCATCACAAGGGTCCTTACAAGCCTAAGAGGAGAGCAGAAGGGTTAGTGTCAGAGTGATGTGATGTGTAAAGGACTCAACCAGCCATTAAAGAGGAAAGAAGGAATCATAAGCCAAAGAAGGTGGGCAGCCTCTAGAAGCTGGAAAAGGCAAGAAAATGGATTATCTCCAAGGGCCTCCAGAAAGGAACACAGTCCTGCTGGCACCTTGATTTTGCTCAGTGAGTTCAGCCAAGAATGGCTGTTGAGGTGCTGGAGAGCAGTGACCCCAGGGGCCCTGAGTTCTAGTATGATTCTGCCATTAACTAGCTGGCTTTGGAGACAACGTGGCCCCACCCTGAGCCTCAGTTTCCTTACTCACTGTATGCTGGGCACCATTATCTCACAAAACAAAGTGGGTGTTGATATTTCTCATCCCCAATGGCTTTAAAGAGGGAAATGGAATAATTAGATGTGTGCTTCAGAAAGATCACTTGGGCTGCGGTATTAAAAAATGGTTGGCTCTTTATTCTCATCCATGTTTGTCAAAAATCTTACCCATCTTTCAAGACTTGGTTCACATCTTCTGTCTTCCACAAGTCCCCTCCCCACCCTGCCTGACCTCTTAGTTGGAGTCATTATCTACCTGGCACTCCCCACAAAGCAAAGAACTACATATACTGTAAATCCCTTGAAATTGGACATCACGTGTTTCATCCACATGTGCTCCACCGGGCTAGGTCCATGCCAGGACTGATAAATGTGTGCAGAATTATCCTCTGCACTGAAAAACCATTTTCGTGGGACAGAGGAAGAAATAATGGAGCCACTCAATACTTGTTGGGGACTCAAGCCTTCTTTTGATAAGGGAGTTTATCTGCAGGCCTCAAGGGGTGTACAATTAAGCACTGCAGGATGTATTTCCCCTAGCTCTGAAAGGTTCTGATCTGCCTTGAGTACTAATGTTGAAAAGGACTGTCTGGGAAACAGGCCCTGAGGTCAGCTTGGTTTATTGTCACTAGGCTTTAATCATATCCTGCAACTTGGAACCCTGAGAGGGTTCTTTTCACCTTGCACAATACGATGTGAGCTTTGCCGAGCTGCACCATTGATAAATGGGAAAGAGCAATAGTGACCTGCTTTCTCTTTTGAGACTTTTGCCCATTAAATATATTCTTCCTTAGATCCAAGCAATTCAATAGTATGGAAATAAAAAACTTTTGTTGAATACCTGTTCTACTGTTTGAAGAGCAGTCCTCCTGTTTCATAATTTAGAATAACTTGAAGAAAAAAACCAAAATATCTATTATTATCTAAGAAAAGACTGGAAAATTTTTGTGACTTCTATAGAGTCTGTAACCAAGAACAGTATACCTAAGAAATCCAGAGATTTCCCAAATAATTTTTTTTTTTTGAGACAGGGTCTCACTTTGTCACCTAGGCTTGAGTGCAGTGGCATGAACATGGCTCACCACAGCCTTGACTCCCTGGGCTCAAGTGATCTTCCTGCCTCAGCTTCCCTAGTAGCTGGCACCACAGCTACAGGTGCACACCACCACACCTGGCTAATTAAAAAATTTGTTTTGGTAGAGATGGGGAGTTGCCATGTTGCCCAGCCTGGTCTTGAACTCCTGGGTTCAAGCAATCCTCCTGCCTTGGCCTCCCAAAGTGCTGGGATTACAGACCTGAGCCACCATGCCTGGTCCCAAATAAATTTACAAAGAATTTCATTGGGGATTAGTTAAAATATTCTGGGATTAATTTTTATTAATGTATTATTATTATTCTACCACACTGCCTCTGGTGGTGTGGTGGGGACAGAGCTTGATTGAAAAGAAACAGCCGGGTGCGATGGCTCATGCCTGTAATCCCAGCACTTTGGGAGGCTGAGGCGGGCGGATCACGGAGTCAGGAGATTGAGACCATCCTGGCTAACACGGTGAAACCCTGTCTCTACTAAAAATACAAAAAATTAGCTGGGTGTGGTGGCGGGCGCCTGTAGTCCCAGCTACTCGGGAGGCTGAGGCAGGAGAATGACATGAACCCAAGAGGCGGAGCTTGCAGTGAGCTGAGATCTCGCCACTGCGCTCCAGCCTGGGCAACAGAGCAAGACTCCGTCTCAAAAAAAAAAAAAAAAAAAGAAACAGAGAACTTTCTGTAGTGACAGTCATACTTTATAATTGGATGCAGGGGCCGGTCACAGTGGCTCACGCCTGTAATCCTAGCACTTTGGGAGGCTGAGGAGGGCGGATCACCTGAGGTCAGGAGTTCAAGACTATCTTGGCCAATATGGTGAAACCCTGTCTCTACAAAAAATATAAAAATTAGCCAGGCAGAGTGGTGCACGCCTGTAATCCCAGCTACTGGGGAAGCTGAGGCAGGAGAATTGCTTGAACCTGGAAGGTGGAGGTTGCAGTGAGCTGAGATTGCGCCACTGCACTACAGCTTGGGCGACAGAGCAAGACCCTGTCTCAAAAATAAAAAAAAATTGGATGCAAGATACATATGTGAATACATTTGTCAAGGCAAAGACTAATTCCAACAGCAAATTATGGTGATATTATATGTAAGAGAGTAGAGAGTGATGGAGGTTACCTTGAAATGGAGCTCAGCCCCTGCCATGCTCACGTGTTCTGTAGCTTCCACTACTGGCCTATTTATGGCCTCCATTGCAGAGGGCCAGGCTGAGAGGAAAAGATGTCCTGCTCTCCAAAGCTGTTGAACCTGGAAAATATAGGGGAGGCAGAGGTAGAACTGTGGCAAATGAGAAAGGTACTAGGAAGCGGTATAAAAAATAGTAGCTAACATGAACCCCATTCTACGTGTGGGTATTTTATTTCTTTTCTAGAAAAATGCAAAAAAAGTAGCCTGCAGGGGGGCAGATCAGAGCAGCAGTTCCCAATGTGTGGTGAGGAGGGACCCTACAGGCTCTGAGACTCATTCAGATGGTCATGAGGTCTAAATTATTTTAATAATAATAATAGGCCGGGTGCGGTAGCTCACTCTTGTAATCCCATCACTTTGGGAGGCTGAGATGGGAGGATCACTTGAGGTCAGGAGTTCGAGACCAGCCTGATCAACATGGTGACACCTCATCTCTACTCAAAACATGAAAATTAGCCAGGCGTGGTGGCGGGCGCCTGTAGTTCCAGCTACTAGGGAGGCTGAGGCAGGAGAATAACTTGAACCTGGGAGGACAGCTTGTAGTGAGCTGAGATTGTGCCACTGCACTCCAGCCTGGGTGACAGAGCGAGACTCCATCTCAAAAAAAAAAAAGGAAAATAATAATAATAATAATAACCCGTTATTTGTCTTTTCATTTGCTTTCTCTTTCAAGTATACAGTGGAGTTTCCAAACACTGAGTGACATGTGAGAGCTTAAAAAATTAAATGCAGAAGTTGATTTAAGAATCCAGCTGTCTTCTTTTGAGCCAGACATTAAAGAAATTTACAAAGATGTAAAACAATGACATTCTTCCCATTATCGTTTTGTTTTAGACAATGTAGTTATTTTTCATTTAAATGTTATGTTAATGTGTAATGAGTTTATTAGTGTTATTTCTAAATGAGTTAAATATTTTAAAGTTTCTCTATTTTGGGCTGGGTGTGGTGGCTCACACCTGTAATCCCAGCACGTTGGGAGGCCAAGGTGAGTGGATTACTTGAGGTCAGGAGTTCAAGACCAGCCTGGCCAACATGCAAAACCCTGTCTCTACTAAAAATGCAAAAATCAGCCAGGTGTGGTGCCACACGCCTGTAATCCCAGCTACTTGGGAGGCTGAGGCAGGAGAATTGCTTGAGACTAGGAGGCGGAGATTGCAGTGAGCTGAGATCGCGCCACTGCACTCCAGCCTGGGTGAAAGAGCAAGACTCTATCTCAAAAAAATAAAATAAAATAAAAATAAAGTTTGTCCATTTCAATTTATAATATGGTAATTTTTTTTTTTTTTTTAAACAGGGTCTTACTCTGTCACTCAGGCTAAAGTGCAGTGGTGTGATCAGAACTCACTGCAGTCTCAAACCCCTGGGCTCAAGTGATTCTCCTGCCTCAGCCTTGTGACCAGCTGGGAGTATAGGCACACACCTTCGTGCTTAGCTAATTTTTACATTTTTTGTAGAGATGGGCTTTCACTATGTTGATAGGCTGGTCTGGAATTCCTGCGCTCAAGTGATCCTCCTGCTTCAGCCTTCCAAAGTGCTGGGATTAGAGGTTTGAGCCACTGTGCCTTGCTAATATGATAAAATGTGATAGCTGTTAAATAAACACAGGATTTTTAGGGGTCCATAGTAATTTTTTTTATTAAAAGTGTTTTAAAAGTGAGGTATAATTTATATACAGTAAAATGCACAAGTCTTAAATGTACAACTCAATTAATTTTTACGTATGTATACACCATGAAACCTTCACCCACTTCAACATACAGACCATTTCCTTCACCCTGGAAGGACCCTTGCACCTTATTGAATCAATACCTAGTCCTCCGGAGGTAACCATTATTCTGATTTCTACCACCATAGATTAGTTTTGCTTGATTTTGAATGTCATATGAATGGAATCATATACTTTTTTGTTTGGCTTTTTTTTTTTTAATCTCAGCATAAAGTTTTTGAGATTCATCCATGCTGTTCTGCATATTACAACATTTTTTTACTTTTATTATTGCTGGTGATATTCCATTCTCTGATTATATCACAAACTGTTCTATGTTTTTCTTGATGGATATTTGGATTTTGTCAAGTTTTTGGCTATTAGTAATTAAGTGGCTATGAATATTCTTGTATAAGACTTTTGGTGGACATATAAACTAATTTTTCTTGAGCATATTCCTGGATGTGGAATTGCTGGGTCCTATAGTTGGCTTTATAAGAAACTGCTGGCCAGGTGCAGTGGCTCACACCTGTAATCCCAGCACTTTGGGAGGCCGAGATGGGTGGATCACTTGAGCTCAGGAGTTTGAGACCAACCCGGCAAACATGGTGAAGCCCCGTCTCTACTAATAATACAAAAATTAGCCGGGCATGGTGGTACACTCCTGTAATCTCAGCTACTCGAGAGGCTGAGGCACAAGAATCACTTGAACCCAGGAGGTGGAGTTTGCATTAAGCTGAGATTGCAACACTACACTCCAGCCTGGGTGACAGAGTGAAACTGTGTCTCAAAAACAAACAAACAAACAAAAAACGAAACAAAGGCCAGGCGTGGTGGCTCATGCCTGTAATCCCAGCACTTTGGGAGGCTAAGGTGGGCGGGTCACCTGAGGCCAGGAGTTCGAGACCAGCCTGGACAACATGGTGAAACCCCATCTCTACTAACAATACAAAAATTAGCCAGGTGTGGTAGCACATGCCTGTAATCCCAGCCACTTGGGAGGCTGAGGCAGGAGAGTTGCTTAAACCCGGGAGGCAGAGGTTGCAGTGAGCTGAGCTCACCACTGCACTCCAGCCTGGGCGACAGAGTGAGACTCTGTCTTGGAAAAAAAAAAAAGAAAAAGAAAAAGAAAAGATCGATAATACTAAGTGGTGATGAGCATGAGTAACAATTGGAAATCTCATACATTGCTGGTAGAAATACAAAATGGTAAAGCCATTTGGAAAAACAATAGGCAATCTCTTATAAACATACTCGTCCATTTGACATAGCAATCCTATTTTTAGGTATTTATCCAAGAGAAATGAAAGCATATCCATACAAACACCCGAATGTGAATGCTCATAGTAGCCTAATTCAAAGTAGCCCTAAACTAGAAACAATCCAAAAGTCTAACAACTGGTGCATGGATAAACAAATTGTGGCCCATCCACATAATGGAAAGCTACCCAGCAATGGAAAGGAACAAACAAGTGATACATGCAACAACATGGATGAATCTCAAAAGCACTGTGGTCAGTTGAAAAAAAAAAAAGGCAAACACAAAGGAGTACATACCATATGATTCCACTTATATGACATTCTAGAAAAGGCAAAACTATAGGGACAGGAAACATCAATGGTTGCCAGGGACTGTGGGTGAGGAGAGGAGACTTGACTATAAAGGAACATGAGGAAATTTTTCAGGGTGACAGAAATGTTCTGTATCTTGATATGGTGGTGATTACATGATTGTATACATTTGCCAAAACTCACAGAATTATATACTTATAAAGGGTGAATTTTACTATATATAAATTATGCCTCAATAGACCTGACTTTTAAAAATAAACATTTCAAAAATTAAGACAAAACCCCTCAAAAAGTCATTACCTTGCAAACAAAAAGAATTCCTTTTAAGCACGGCCTGACACAGAATGATGTGTTCGGTGAGACAAACTGGAAGCAACGAGAAAGAAAACAATACCTCCTAGGTACATGAGGTCCCACTTATATTTTGAAGGCTGGAGAGACCTATGCCAAGGCTGTAGCTCAACGCATGAACGTATTTATCTTCGAGTCTTTGTACTTTCCTAGCACTTAGCAAATGATAAGCATTCATTAAATGTTTGTTCGAATGAACTTTTGTTTTGGCTGCTGAGAGACATGTGGCCTAATTGCTGTAGTGGTTATGACAATTTGGCTAGCTCCATGTGAATGATTTGAACTATGTCAAGAGTGCCCAAGACCACCCTCAGGTTCAGTAATTCACTAGGAGTCATAGGACTCTGTTAAACTTATGGTTATGGTTTATTATAGTGAAAGGATACAGATTCGAATTAGCAAAGGGAAAAGGCACATAAGGCAAAGCCCAGGAGAAACCAGGCATAAGCTTTCAGCTGTCCTCTACTAGTCTCACAGACAGTGTTTAATGCTCTGAGTAATGATGTTTGACACCGTGCAAATTGTTGCCAACCAGGGAAGCTCACTTCAGTCTCGGTGTTCAGGATTTTAACTGGAGGCAGTCATATAGGTATGCAGCCCCTGTGTAAATGACCTTAGCTGTCAATCTCCAGCTGCACAGGTCAAATTGACACTGTGTGGTCCAGGATTTCAGGCATACAAAAATAGGCATTCACCATAAATCACATTGTTAGCATAATCTACCTGGACAAACAGATGCAGTGTGGCCCAAGGCCTCAGGCATACAAAGACACTCTTATCAGGCAGGATATTTCAAGCTTCAGAAGTTATCTCCCAGAAGCTGGTCAAGGGCCAGGCCATTATTTGGAATATGCAGGGCTTAAGTAACCCAAGCCTGCTGATTTAATGCTTTACTGCACAGACTGTATCAAGATTTTTAAACCAGGCTTCGTGAATAGCTATATATTCATGTGCATGTGAGGGCATATAATTCTCTCAAAATTCATATCTCATAATTTCTGTTTGTGTATTTTTTCTAGGTAAAAGATGTTTCACAGCTTTTGTCAGATTGTCAAATATCCCGCAACTCAGAAAGATTAAGAATCTGGAGGGATGTCAGCAAGAGAGTGGAATAGGAAGCCACAGACCTTGGTCCCCTAAAGAAACACTGGGCTGGGCATGGCGGTTCACACCTGTAATCCCAGGACTTTGAGAGGCTGAGGTGGGAGGATTGCTTGAGCCCAGAAGCTCAAGACTGGCCTGGGCAACATAGTGAGACTCATCTCTACAAAAAAATTTAAAAATAAAAAACTAGCCAGGCATGGTGGTGAATGCCTGTAGTCCTAGCTACTTGTGAGGCCGAGGGAGGAGAATCGCTTGAGCCCAGGAGTTCAACCCTGCAGTGAGCTATGATTGTGCCATTGCACTCCAACCTGGGTGACAGAGTGAGACCCTGTCACTAAAAAATACATAGACACTTACTTAACAATAACATACAGTTTAAAAAGCCTTTATGAGAACTCCAAAACTCAAGTAAGAAGTCACAGAGGCCGGGCACAGTCGCTCACACCTGTAATCCTAGCACTTTGGGAGGCTGAGGTGGGTGGATCACCTGAGGTCAGGAGTTCAAGACCAGCCTGGCCAACATGGTGAAACCCCATCTCTACTAAAAATACAAAAATTAGCCAGGCGTGGTGGTGCATGCCTGTAATCCCAGCTACTTGGGAGGCTGAGGTAGGAGAATCGCTTGAACCCAGGAGGTGGAGGTTGCAATGAGCCAAGGTCGTGCCACTGCACTCCAGCCTGTGCAATGGGAGCGAGACTCCATCTCAAAAAAAAAAAAAAAAAAAGAAGTCACAGTACCCCAGGCAAGTGCAAAGCCAAAAACAGCTGCATGGAAACAGGTAAGAAGCCATTGCCTTCACTCATGATAGTCCTTTCTCCACAAGCCAGCACAGCTCAGTGTAATCATAAAAAAATGCCCAACTCATGGCTTCTTCCATGGGAGGGAATGAAAAGAATGGAATTTACATCTAATGTTCCAGCTTTTTGGGGAAACTACCCAAGGGACTGGTTTCTGTTTTGTGTGACTCTGAATGCTGACAGAGAACTAGCATACTTTGGATACATGAGGGCCCTTGAGACAGCTCAGCAGCTTGTTGCAGCACCAGAAAACCTGCAGTACTGAAAACAGACAATGGAAGCAGCAAGAAATTATGAGCTCCTGATAAAAACCAGCAAACTTTTCTAATTGGGAAATTATATGCACAAGCCCGGAGAGATGCATCCCCAGAAAAGGTTTGAGAGGCCCACAGAATCTCTAGCTGGACTGATTGATGAAGTTCTTCCGCTGTATGAAGCCGGTCTATAAAGACTGGGAGAAGTTGCTGTTTTTACAAATGCTTAAATTCCAACAAGAATTAATAAGACATATGAAGAAACAGGGAAACATGGCCCAATCAAAGGATCAAAGTAAATCACCAGAAACTGATCCTAAAGAAATAGAAGCCAGCCAGGCATGGTGGCTCACACCTATAGTCCCAGCTACTTGAGAGGCTAAGGTGGGAGGATCCCTTGAGCCTGGGAGGCAGAGGTTGCAGTGAGCCAAGATCATGCCACTGCACTCCAGCTTGGGCAACAGAGTGAGACCCTGTCTCAAAAAAAAAAAAAAAAAAAAAAAAAAAAAGGATACAGTAACTAAAGAAAATAATTCACTAGAAAAGTTCAGCAGCAGACTTGATCAAGCAGAAGCAAGAATCAGCAAAGTTAAAGACAGGTCATTTAAAATGATCAAGTGAGAGGAGCAAAAGAGGAAAAGAATAAAGAAAAATGAACAAAGCCTAAGGAACTTATGGAACACCATCAAGTAGGCCAATATATGCATTAGGGAAGTTCCAGAAGGAGAAGGGAGAGAGAAGAGCACAAAGAGCTTATCTGAAGAAATAATAGCCTAAAACTTCCCAAATCTGAGAAAGAAAATGGACATCCAAAGTCAAGAAGCTCAGCCAGGTGCAGTGGCTCACACCTGTAATCCCAGCACTTTGGGAGGCCAAGGCAGGCAGGCAGATCGCTTGAGCCCAGCAGTTCCCAGCCTGGGCAACATGGTGAAATCCCATCTCTACAAAAAATACAGAAATTAGCCAGGTGTAGTGGTTCACACCTATAGTCCCAGCTACCTGGGAGGCTGAGGTGGGAGGATCCCTCAAGCCCAGGAGGTTGAGGCTGCAGTGAGCTGTGATCACACCACTGCACTTCAGCCTGGGCAACAGAGCAAGATCCTGTCTCAAAAAAAACCCAAAAAATTCAAGAAGCTCAAAATATTCTAACCAGAATGAACCCAAATGGGCCGGCAAGAGATGTGTTATAATAAAACTGTCAAAAGTCAAAGACAAAAAGAGAATCTTGAAAGCAGCTAGAGAAAAGCAACTCATCACATACAAGAGAGCTCCCATAATATTATTAGTGGATTTCTCAGCAGAAACCTTACAGACCAGAAGGGAGTGGATGAATTTAATGACATTTTCCAAGTGCTAAAAGAAAAAAACCCAAAAGGGTGGGCATGGTGGCTCACACCTGTAATCCAAGCACTTTGGGAGGCTGAGGTGAGAGGATTATTTGAGCCCAGGAGTTCAGGACTAGCTTGGGCAACACAGGGAGACCCGTCTCTATACATTTTTTTTTTTTTAAATAAAAATCAGCTGGGCACGTTGACATGTGCCTGTAGTCCTGGCTACTTAGGCGGCTGAGGCAGGATTGCCTGAGCCTGAGAGGTTGCAGTTGCAATAAATCATGATTGTGCCACTGCACTCCAGTCTGGGTGACAGAGTAAGACCCTGTCTCAAAAAAAGAATAAAAAAGAAAAACTAGTAACCAAGAACACTATATCTAGCAAAACTATTTTTCTTTTTCTTTTTTTTTTTTTTTTGAGACAGAGTCTTGCTCTGTTGCCCAGGCTGGAGTGCAGTGGCACAATCTCGGCTCACTGCAAGCTCTGCCTCCTGGGTTCACGCCATTCTCCTGCCTCAGCCTCCCCAGTGGCTGGGACTACAGGTGCTGGCCACCACGCCCGGCTAATTTTTTGTATTTTTAGTAGAGACGGGGTTTCACCGTGTTAGCCACGATGGTCTCAATCTCCTGACCTCGTGATCCGCCTGCCTCGGCCTCCCAAAGTGCTGGGATTACAAGCCTGAGCCAGCAAAACTATTTTTCAAAAATGAAAGGAACTAAAGACCCTCCCAAATAAACAAAAGCTTAGGGAGTACTCACCACTAGACCTGCCTTATAAGAAATGCTAAAGGAATTCTTTCAAGTTGAAACTAAAGGATACTAGATAGCAACACAAAAGCATATAAAAATATAAAGCTGTCTGGTAAATATATAGACAAATACAAAATCCTGTAATACTGCAATGGTGGCATATAAATAACATTTAATTCTGGTACAGAATTAAAAAGGTAAAATCATAAGAATAATTATAACTATAAAACTATATTAATGATACAAATATAAAAAGATGTAATTTATGACCTTGATAACATAAAGGGGGGATGTAAAGGAGTAAAGTTTCATATGCAATTGAAGTTAAGTTGTTATCAGTTTAAAATAGATTGTTATAAGATGCCTTATGTAAAACCCATGGTAACCACAGAGGAAATACCTATAGAAGATTAAAAAAAAACTGACAAAGGAATCAAAGCATGTCACTACAAAAAATTAATGAAACACAAAGGAAGACACCAAGAGAAGAAAAAGGGGACAAATTAACTACAAGACATTTAAAAAGAGAAAGAAATGGCAACAGTAAGTCCTCCTCTATCAGTAATTGCTTTAAATGTATAATAGATTAAACTCTCAAATCAACAGACATAGAGTGGCTGAATGGATTTAAAAAACAAGATCCAACTATATGCTGTCTACTGGCTCAGTTTAGACATAAGGACACACAAAGGCTGAAAATGAAAGGATGGAAAAATATATTCCATACAAATAGTAACCAAAAGAGAGCAAAGAGGCCACACTTATATCCAACAAAATAGACTTTAAGTCAAAAACTGTCACAAGAGACAAAGAAGAACATCATATAATGATAAAGGCATTAATTCACCAAGAAGACATAAGAATTATATATGTGCCTAACATAAGCGCATCCAAATAGCTATAGCAAACATTAATGGAATTGAAAGGAGAAACAGACAGTAACACAAAAATAGTAGATTTCAATAACCTATATTCAACAATGGGTAGAACAACCAGTCATAAGATCAATAAATAAATAAAAGATTTGAACGACACTATATACCAATTGGACCTATACAGAACAGTCCACCCAATAACAGTGATAATGGTGAATACCCATTTTTCTCAAGCATACATGAAACATTCTCCAAGACAGATCACTTGTTAAGCCACAAAACAGGTCTTAACAAGTTTAAGAAGACTGAAGTCATACCAGGTATCTTTTCTGACTACAATGAAATAAAACTAGAAATCTATACAAAAGGAAAACTGAAAAATTCCTAAGTATGTGGAAATTAAACAACACATTGGAATAAACAATGGATCAAGGAGGCACTCACCAGGGAAATTCAAAAATATCTTTAGACAAATGAAAATAAAAAAGATCGCCCGGCCAGCCGCCCCGTCCGGGAGGGAGGTGGGGGGCAGCCCCTGCCCAGCCAGCCGCCCCGTCCGGGAGGGAGGTGGGGGGCGCCTCCGTCCGGCCGCCGCCCCGTCCGGGAGGTGGGGGGCGCCTCTGCCCGGCCGCCCCTTCTGGGAAGTGAGGAGCCCCTCTGCCTGGCCGCCACCCCCTCTGGGAGGTGTACCCAACAGCTCATTGAGAACGGGCCATGATGATGATGGCGGTTTTGTGGAATAGAAAAGGGGGAAATGTGGGGAAAAGATAGAGAAATCAGATTGTTGCTGTGTCTGTGTAGAAAGAAGTAGACATAGGAGACTCCATTTTGTTCTGTACTAAGAAAGATTCTTCTGCCTTGGGATGCTGGTGATCTATGACCTTGCCCCCAACCCTGTGCTCTCTGAAACATGCTGTGTCCACTCAGGGTTAAATGGATTAAGGGCGGTGCAAGATGTGCTTTGTTAAACAGATGCTTGAAGGCAGCATGCTCCTTAAGAGTCATCACCACTCCCTAATCTCAAGTACCCAGGGACACAAACACTGAGGAAGGCTGCAGGGTCCTCTGCCTAGGAAAACCAGAGACCTTTGTTCACTTGTTTATCTGCTGACCTTCCCTCCACTATTGTCCTATGACCCTGCCAAATCCCCCTCTGCGAGAAACACCCAAGAACGATCAATTAAAAAAAAAAAAAAGAAAAGAAAAAAGAAAATAAAAAAGATCAAGAATCTGGCCAATGATTCCAAGGATGATCAAGTTTAGTGAAAAGAATGAGATTTGTAATAAGTTGATCTGAGTTTGAATCTCCAACTTTACCACTTACCAGTTGCGTGTCCTTAGACAAATATTTCAAGTTCTCAGCAATTGTTTCCTAACAAGTTTAAAAATGGGTATAATCATAATTTCCCCATAAGATTGTTGTAGCATCAAATGAAATAACACATTAAATGGGACCTTATAAATTGGAAGGCTTGAATTGTCACTATTCTTTGCCCTCTCTGCTGCCTTTCAGCTCTCACTGTCACCCTAATTGTGGTTATTGCTCAGGTGTTCTATGTCATGTGTTGCAGCTGGAAAACAGAATTTCTTTTCTTTTTTTTTTTTCTGAAAAAAAAAGAGTGAGACAGAGTTTCACTGTTATTGCCCAGGCTGGAGTGCAATGGCACAATCTCGGCTCACTGCAACCTCCACCTCCCAGGTTCAAGGGATTCCCCTACCTCAGCCTTCCAAGTAGCTGGGATTACAGGCATGTGCCACCATGCCTGGCTAATTTTGTATTTTTAGTAGAGACGGGGTTTCTCCATGTTGGTCAGGCTGGTCTGGAACTCCTGACCTCAGGTGATCCACCTGCCTCGGCTTCCCAAAGTGATGGGATTACAGGCCTGAGCCACTGTGCCTGGCCCAGAAAACAGAATTTCTTACCCACAAGGACTGTTCTCTTCTTATAGCTGTTAATGCTCATGTTGCAAAGAGCAGAACTTAGAGCATTAAACCAAGATTGTAAAACTTGATTGAGTCCTGGATTGCTATACGCAATGTTTAGTCTGCACAGATCCAGGTCCATAAACTTTTTTTTTTTTTTGAGATGGAGTCTCACTCTGTCGCCCAGGCTGGAGTGCAATGGCACCATCTCGGCTTACTGCAACCTCCGCCTCCCGGGTTCATGTGATTCTCCTGCCTCAGCTCCCAAGTAGCTGGGATTATAGGCCCATGCCACAACCTCCAGCTAATTTTTGTATTTTTAGTAGAGACGGGATTTCACCATGTTGGTCAGGCTGGTCTTGAACTCCTGACCTCGTGATCCACCTGCCTCGGCCTCCCAAAATGCTGGGATTACAGCCATGAGCCACTGTGCCCGGCCTGGTCTATAAACTTCTAAGTATTTTCTCATTTGTGAAAAAGCGAAAGCAGGTTAGGCGTGGTGGCTCACACCTGCAATCCTAGCACGTTGGGAGGCTGAGACGGGCAAATAGCCTGAGGTCAGGAGTTTGAGACCAGCCTGCCCAACATGGTGAAACCCCATCTCTACTAAAAATCCAAAAACTAGCCAGGTGTGTTGGTGCATGCTTGTAATCCCAGCTACTTGCGGGGACTGAGGCAGGAGAATTGCTTGAACCCAGGAGGGGGAAGTTGCAGTGAGCCAAGATTGCGCCATTGCCCTCTAGCCTGGGCAATAGAGCAAGACTCTGTCAAAAAAAAAAAAAAAAGCGAAAGCAATCTGTGCACTGCCTGTCTCTGAGGGTGGTTGTGCTGATCATCGGAAAATATGTATGGGAAAGCATGCTTAAAATGTGATTATTTTTATTGGCCCATCGGACATGTGGTAGCAAAACAAAGTTTTAAAAAATACATCATAAATATACCTCAGCCCACAAAGATCAACCTTAAGTGGACATCTTCAAATACAATATGTAGGGACCAAGGGAAAACTTCCCCTTTCCCCTCTGAATGTTTACTGAAAATCAACTGACTAAAGGCAGATTATAGGAGAAAAGGCAAACAAATCTATTAATGTGCATGGGGAGAATCACAGAGTGATCACCCCACCATGGGAAAGGGAGATGAGGAAGTGTGGATGATGTTGGGGGGATACTAAATGATTTTTTAGGGAATTCAATGGACTTGAAGAACATATAATGGCCTGGAACAAAGTCCGTTGGGCCCACAGAGCAGACAATGGTTTGTGACAAAAGTCTGTCCAGCTGTGTTGACAGACTTCAGTCTTTCTTCCTGCAATATAAGTTCAGTCAATGAAAACTCAGGGAAGGGACCAGAGGCAATTATTTTTTTCTTTGGTGGGTTCAGACTTTAGGCAGATAAGGAAACTTTATCCTGTGCTTAGGGAGAGACAGAAGATTAGGAGACAGTAGTTGGGGGCGGTGGGCGGGGGAGGTAGAAAGAGAGGGGAAGATCAGAGAGACCTTGAGAAACTACTTTTTCAGTTCAGCATGTCAAAGCACCGTATTTTGGGGCATCAGTTTCTGAGCACCGGCAGAAAAAAGTTGGTTTCTTTAATGAAGCCCAATGTCACTAAGAACTTTAAAGACACAGTGACAATGTTACCTAGAATGTTTCATAAAAGTCCTTATAATCCTTTTAAACTTCCCAAGTAAAAATCTTTCTCATTTTTCGGTGACTATTCTGAAACTATTCTCTCTAAGACTCCAGGATCACACTTAACCCTCTCTGAGCAGATGACCCCTCTATAAAAGAGGAGATAATATCCTTATACTCTCTCTCTTTCATCTGTCCTATAACACCTATACCATATCAATACATCCTTAGCACCTTCAATCCTGTGTCAGAAAATAAAGGCCCTCTGATTGTACACAAGGCGGGTCTTCCTGATCAAAGTCCCTCTTGCTTCCTCTAGGACTTTATGCTCTCAGTTACTCCCCACACTATCCTATATGCAGGCACTCCCTTGAGACAAGGTTTTTCTCAGTATACAAATATGGGCAAGTCTCTCCAAACCTAATCAGCCTTGCATTTTTTTAAAAAACTTTATTTGGTTAGGGAGGATACAATGATTAAATTATGCTTAGAAAAAAGTAGTGATATACAGTTTAAATTGGAAAGGGGGATAGCTAGAAGTCAGTTGCTTGGTTTGGATGCCTCTATAATAATCAAGGTAAGAAGGAACTAGGATCTGAGTTGGAGTGGTGCCAAGAGAATGAAAGGAGGGAATATTGAAAAAAAAAATTGTGTAATTAATACTGACAGGTCCTGGAAACTAAATAAATGTGGGATAGAGGGAAAAAGAAGAACAAAATAGAATGCTTTTCAAGCAGAGACTTCTACAGCCACACACAACAAAGAATACAGACTTTGCAAAATTAGTTCAGGGAAGTCACTACAGAAGCAAATGACAACAACAAGCCCTAGGGTGGGGAATATGATTTTCAGATTATTATATGATTTCCACATTACTTAAATTTTCCAATTTTCAACAAAATTCTAAGACATAGGAAAAAAAACAAGAAAGTATGACCATACACAGAAAAAAAAGCAGTCAAGAGAAATAATCTCTGAAGAAGCCTGGATGTTGGACTTAGTAGACAAAGACTATAAATCAGTTCATATATATATATATGCATTCTATTTTATTCTTCTTTTTCCCTCTATCCCACAATCATTTAGTTTCCAGGACCTGTCAGTATTAATTACACAGTGTTTTTTTGCAATATTCCCTCCTTTCATTCTCTTGGCACCACTCCAACTCAGATCCTAGTTCCTTCTTACCTTGATTATTATAGAGGCATCCAAACCAAGCAACTGACTTCTAGCTATCCCCCTTTCCAATTTAAACTGTATACCACTACTTTTTTCTAAGCATAATTTAATCATTGTATCCTCCCTATATGTTGTGTATATATATATACACAAAGAACTACAGAAAACCATGGGCTAAAAACCTAAAGGAAAATATGAGAATGATATCTTGCCAAATGTAGAATATCAATAAAGAGAAAGAAATTATTTTAAAAAAGAACTAAAAAAAAAAAAATTCTGGAGTTAAAAAGTATAGTAACTGAAATGAAAAATTCACCAGAGGGGATCAACAGTATATTTGAACTAACAGAAGAAGGAATCAGTGAATGTGAAAATACATGATTTGAGGTTATCCAGTTGAGGAGGAATAGGTGGAGGACACTATCAACTGTATCAATATATAGGCATAATGAAAGTTCCAGAAGGAGGGAAGTCAGATAAATAATATCCAAAGAAATAATGGCCAGAAACTTCCCAAATATAGTGAAAAGCATTAATTTACACATCCAAGAAGCTCAGTAAGCTACAAATAGAATAAAATCAGAGACCAATATGTAGATACATCATAATCAAATGATTGATGGTTAAAGACAAAGAGACAATTTAGAAACCAACAAGAGAGAAGCAATTAATCACATACAAAGAATCCTCCATAAGATGAATTCATTTCTCCTTGGAAACCATTTAGGTCAGAAGGTAGTGGGATAACATATTCAAGGTCCTGAAAGGAAAAAGTACTGTGAATCTAGAATTCTGTATCTTGAAAAACTATCCTTCAAAAACAAAGGAGAAATTAAGACATTCCCAGATAAACAAAACTTGACCTGCTCTACAAGAAATTCTACAGGGAGTCCTTCAGGCTGAAATGAAAGGAAACTAGTCAGTAATTCAAATCCACATGAAGAAATAAAGAACACTTTGGTAAAGGTAACTACAAAGCTAAATATAAAAGATAACATAAATGTATTTTTTGTAATTTTTTCTTCTATCTAATTTAAAAGACAATGGCATAAAGCAATACTAATAAAGTGGTGTTAATGGGCTTATAATATATAAAGAGGTTTACGTATGTTAAAAAATAGCATAAAGGGGCTCACATCTGTAATCCCAGTACGTTGGTAGACCGAAGTGGGTGGATTGCTTGAACTCAGGAGTTCAAGACCAGCCTGGGCAACATGGTGACATCCAGTCTCTATTAAAAATAACAAATATTAGCTGACTGTGGTGGCGCATGCCTGTAATCCCAGTTACTCAGATGGCTGAAGCATGAGAATGACTTGAACTTGGGAGATGGAAGTTGCAGTGAGCTGAGATCATGCCACTGCACTCTAACCTGGGCAACAGAATGAGACCTTGTCTCAAAAAAAAAAAAAAAAAAAGCATAAAGGAAGGGACAAGGAATGGAGCTACATAGAAAGAAAGTTTTTCTATAATAAATTCATTTTGTAAAATAAATTCACTCAATACATTGTATTAATCTGAACTAGATTACTACAAACTAAGATGTTAATTACAATCACCAGGAAACCACTAAGAAAATAACTTTAGGCCAGGTACAGTGGCTCATGCCTGTAATTCCAGTATTTTATGAGGCTGAAGCAGGAGGATCACTTGAGGCTAGGAGTTTTTTTGTTTTTGTTTTTGTTTTGTTTTTGATACAGAGCCTTGCTCTGTCACCCAGGCTGGAGTGCAGTGGTGTGATCTTGGCTCGCTGCAACCTCTGCCTCCTGGATTCAAATGATTCTCCTGATCTCAGCCTCCTGAGTAGCTGGGATTACAAGCAAGCACCACCACACCCAGCTAATGAGGCCAGGAGTTTGAGACCAGCCTGGGCAACATAGCAATATTCATCTCTACAAAAATTTTTAAAAATAAAATTAACTGGTTGGACATGGTGGCTCACACCTGTAATCCTAGCATTTTGGGAGGCTGAGGCAGGTGACTGGCTTGAGCCCAGGAGTTTGAGACCAGCTGGGCAACATGGTGAAAACCTCCCTCTCCCTCCCCCTCCCTCTCCCCCTCTCCCTCTCCCTCCCTCTGTCTCCCTCTCCCTCTCCCTCTCGGTCTCCCTCTCCCTCTCTTTCCATGCTCTCCCTCTGATGCCAAGCCGAAGCTGGACTGTACTGCTGCCACCTCGGCTCACTGCAATCTCCCTGCCTGATTCTCCCGCCTCAGCCTGCCCAGTGCCTGCTATTGCAGGCACGTGCCGCCACGCCTGACTGGTTTTCGTATTTTTTTGGTGGAGACGGGGTTTCGCTGTGTTGGCCGGGCTGGTCTCCAGCTCCTAACCGCGAGTGATCTGCCAGCCTCGGCCTCCCGAGGTGCCAGGATTGCAGACAGAGTCTCGTTCACTCAGTGCTCAATGTTGCCCAGGCTGGAGTGCAGTGGCGTGATCTCAGCTAGCTACAACCTCCACCTCCCAGCCGCCTGCCTTGGCCTCCTAAAGTGCCAA
This sequence comes from Homo sapiens, assembly GCF_000001405.40. Lineage (NCBI taxonomy): Eukaryota > Metazoa > Chordata > Mammalia > Primates > Hominidae > Homo > Homo sapiens. The sequence goes on from NC_000022.11 coordinate 30,066,494, forward strand.
GATTGCAGCCTCTGCCCGGCCGCCACCCCGTCTGGGAAGTGAGGAGCGTCTCTGCCTGGCCACCCATCGTCTGGGATGTGAGGAGCTCCTCTGCCCGGCTGCCCAGTCTGGGAAGTGAGGAGCGCCTCTTCCCAGCCGCCATCCTGTCTAGGAAGTGAGGAGCGTCTCTGCCCGGCCGCCCCGTCTGGGATGTGAGGAGCGCCTCTGCCTGGCTGCGACCCCGTCTGGGAGGTGAGGAGCGTCTCTACCCGGCCGCCCCATCTGAGAAGTGAGGAGCCCCTCCTCCCGGCAGCTGCCCCATCTGAGAAGTGAGGAGCCCCTCCGCCCGGCAGCCACCCCATCTGGGAAGTGAGGAGCGTCTCCGCCCGGCAGCCGCCCCGTCCGGGAGGGAGGTGGGAGGCAGCCCCCGCCCGGCCAGCCGCCCTGTCCGGGAGGGAGGTGGGGGGCGCCTCTGCCCGGCCGCCCCTTCTGGGAAGTGAGGAGCCCCTCTGCCTGGCCGCCACCCCCTCTGGGAGGTGTACCCAACAGCTCATTGAGAACGGGCCATGATGATGATGGCGGTTTTGTGGAATAGAAAAGGGGGAAATGTGGGGAAAAGATAGAGAAATCAGATTGTTGCTGTGTCTGTGTAGAAAGAAGTAGACATAGGAGACTCCATTTTGTTCTGTACTAAGAAAGATTCTTCTGCCTTGGGATGCTGGTGATCTATGACCTTGCCCCCAACCCTGTGCTCTCTGAAACATGCTGTGTCCACTCAGGGTTAAATGGATTAAGGGTGGTGCAAGATGTGCTTTGTTAAACAGATGCTTGAAGGCAGCATGCTCCTTAAGAGTCATCACCACTCCCTAATCTCAAGTACCCAGGGACACAAACACTGAGGAAGGCTGCAGGGTCCTCTGCCTAGGAAAACCAGAGACCTTTGTTCACTTGTTTATCTGCTGACCTTCTCTCCACTATTGTCCTATGACCCTGCCAAATCCCCCTCTGCGAGAAACACCCAAGAATGATCAATAAAAAAAAAAAAGAAAAAAAAAAGAAAACCTAGCTCTATAAAAAATCCAAAAAAAAAAAAAATTTGCTGGGCATGGTGGCACATGCCTGTAGTCCCAGCTATTCAGGAGGCTTAGTTGGGAGGATCACTTGAGCCCAAAAGTTCAGGGCCGCAGTGAGCTATGATTGTGCCACTGCACTCCAGCCTGGATGACAGAGTGAGACCTTGTCTCTAAAAAAATAAAATAAATTGCCTGGTGCAGTGGCTTATGCCTGTAATCCCAACACTTTGGGAGGCCAAGGCAGGTGAATCACTTGAGGTCAGGAGTTTGAGACCAGCCTGGCCAACATGGTGAAACCCTGTCTCTACTAAAAATACAAAAACTAGCAGGATGTGGTGGTGTGCGCCTGTAGTACCAGCTACTCGGGAGGCCGAGGCACGAGAATCGCTTGAACCCGGGAGGCAGAAGCTGCAATGAGCTGAAATCGTGCCACTGCACTATAGGCTGGGCAAAAGAGTGAGACTACATCTCAAAAATAAAATAAATAAATAAATAAAATAAAATAAATCTAAAAAGAAAATATTTTTAGAATATATAGGAAAAGAAATGACAAGAAGTTAAAATGGCACATTGGAAAATATCTACAAAAAAAGCAGTAAGGGAGAAAGAAATAAAAACACATAAGACATATAGAAAACAAATAGCAAAATTACAGACATAAATCCAACCTTGTTAGCAATGGATTAAGCACTCCAATCAAAAGGCAGAGATTGGAAAAATGGATAAAAACAACATGATCCAACCATATTCTGTCTATAAGAGATACAGTTTATTTCACTTATTTTAATCTTTTGAAATGATTCAATCTTGTTCTGTTGCCCAGGTGGGGTGCAGTGGTGTGATCACAACTCACTACAACTTTGAACTCCTGGTCTTAAGCAATCCTACCCCAGCCTCCCAAGTAGTTGGGACTAAAGGCACATGCCATCCCACCCAGCTAATTTTAGAAAGTTTTTTTAGAGATGGCATCTGTATTGCCCAGGCTGGTCTTGAACTCCTGGGCTCAAGCGATCTTTATCTCTCTCCCCACCCTTTTTTTTTTTTTTTTAAGAAACAGGATCTCACTCTGTCATCCAGGCTAGAGTGCAACGCACAATCATAGCTAACTGCAGCCTCAAAATCCTGAGCTCAAGTGATCCTTCCAACTCAGCCTCCTGAGTAGCTGGGACTACAGGTGCAGGCTACCAAACTCAGCTAATTATTAAGTATTTTTTTTTTTTAGAGACAGGGTCTTATTTGTTGGCCAGGCTGGTCTTGAACTTCTGGCCTCAAGAGATCCTCCCACTTCAGCCTCCCAGAATTCTGTGATTATAGGAGTGAGCCACCACTCCGGGCCCATCTGGCATTTTTATTATTGTCAAAGAAAAGAGCTGGAGTAGCTATACTTATACCAGACAAAAAAAGACTTTAAGATAAAATGTGTTACTAGACACCAAAAAAGGACATTTAATAATGATTTTAAAAGTCAGTCTATCAAGAAGATACAGGCTGGGTGCAGTGGCTCATGCCTATAATCCCAGCACTTTAGGAGGCCGAGGTGGGTGGATCACTTGAGATCAGGAGTTCGAGACCAACCTGGCCAACATGGTGAAACCCTGTCTCTACTAAAAATACAAAAATTAGCTGGGTGTGGTATGGGGTGCTTGTAATCCCAGCTACTCAGAAGGCTGAGGCAGGAGAATCGCTTGAACCTGGGAGTTGGAGGTTGCAGTGAGCCAAGATCATGCCACTGCACTCCAGCCTGGGCAACAGAACAACAACAACAAAAAAGAAGATACAACAATTAGAAACAAATATCTACCTAACAACAGAGCCTCAAAATACATGAAGCAAAAAATAAATAAGGGGAGAAATAAACAATTCAACAATACTAATTAGAGAAATAATACTTCCCTCTCAGAAATAGATAGAACAACTAGACAGAAGACCAACAAGGAAATAGAAGACTTGAACAACACTACAAACTAACTAGATCTAAGGAACATCAATAGAACTTTCCACCCAAAACCAGCAGACTATACATTTTCTCAAGTGCACATGGAATAGTCCCCAGAATAGACCATATGTCAGGCTATAAAACAAGTGTCAATAAATTTAAAAGGACTGAAATCATACAATGTATATTCTGTCACTGCAAGCAATATCACAATAAATCAACAACTGAAGGAAATTTGGGAAATTTACAAATATGTGGAAACCACAAAACACACTCCAAAATACCTATTAGGTCAAAGAAGAAATCACAAGAGATACTAGAAAATACTTTGAAGTGAATGAAAACAAAAACACAATGTAGCAAAATTAGGGCTGGGCATGGTGGCTCAGACCTGTAATCCCAGCACTGTGGGAGGCCAAGGCTGGTGGATCACCTGAGGTCATGAGCTCGAGATCAGCCTGTCCAACATGGTTAAACCCCATTTCTACTAAAAATACAAAAAGTAGCTGGGTGTGGTGGCATGCACCTGTAATCCCGGCTGCTCGGGAGGCTCAGGCATGAGAATTGCTTGAACCTGGGAGGTGGAAGTTGCAGTTAGCTGAGATTGCACCACTGCACTCCAGCCTGGGTGACAGGGCAAGACTCCATCTCAAAAAAACAAAAACAAAACAAAACAAAAAAACCCCACCAAAAACAATGTAGTAAAATGTATGAGATGCAGCTAACACACACCTAAGTGGGAAATTTATAGCTGTAAATGCTACATTAAATAAAGACCTTGAATAAATTACCTAATCTTACATTTTAAGAAACTCAAAAAAGAAGAGAAAACTAAATCCAAAGCAAGCAGAAAGAAGGGAATAATACAGATTAGAGTAGAAACAAACAAAATTGAGAATAGAAAAACAATAGAGAAAATCAATAAAACCAAAAGTTGTTTCTTGGAAAAAAAAATCAACAAAATTGACAAATCTTTAGCAAGGCAGACTAAGAAAAAAATTAGACTGAAGTTACTAAAATTAGGATTGAAAGAGGTACATTATTACCAACCTTACAGAAATAAAAGGGATTATAAGAGAATTTTATAAATAATTGCATGACAGCCAGGAGCAGTGGCTCATGCCTGTAATCCCAGAACTTTGGGAGGCCAAGGTGGGTGGATCACTTGAGGCTAGGAGTTTGAGACCAGCCTGGGCAGCATGGCAAAACCCTGTCTTTACCAAAAATACAAAAAAAGATAGCCAGGCCTGGTGGTGTGTGCCTGTAGTCCCTGCTAATTGGGAGGCTTGAGGCATGAGAATTGCTTGAACTGGAAGGCGGAGGTTGCAGTGAACTGAGATCACGCCACTGCCCTCCAGCCTGGGTGATACAGCAAGACTCCATCTCAAAAAGAAAAAAAAACAACTGTATGCCAACAAATTAGGTAAACTAGATGGAATGGACAAATTCCTATAAAGACACAAACTACTGAATGACTCAAGAAAATATAGATAACCTGAATAGGCCTATAATAAGCAGAGATTGCATTAGTAGTTAAAAACAACAACAACAACAACAACAACAACAACAACAAACCTTCCACAAAGAAAAGCCCAGGACCACATGGCTTCACTGGTGAATTCTACCAGATATATAAAGAAGAATTCACACTCTTCCCAAAAAATAAAAGGGGAGAGAACACTTCTCAATGCCTTCTATGAGATGGGTATACCAAAACCAGAAGAAAGAACATCACAAGAACACTACAAATCAATATCCCTTATGAATATAGACACAACACTCCCCCCAAATAGTGGCAAACTAAATCCAATAACATATAAAAAGGAATATACACCACAAACCACATGGAATTTATCCCAGGATTGCAAGGTTGGTTCAATATATAAAAATCAATTTAACATACTAAGGATAAAGGATAAAACTCACATGATCAATAGATGTAGAAAAAGTATTAAATAAAATCCAATATCTTTTTTTTTTTTTTGAGATGGAGTCTCTCTCTGTCAGCCAGGCTGGAGTGGCATGATTTCTGCTCACTGCATCCTCTGCCTCCCGGGTTCCAGCGATTCTCCTGCCTCAGCCTCCTGAGTAGCTGGGATTATAGGCGCCTGCCACCACACCTGGCTAATTTTTGTATTTTTAGCAGAGAAGGGGTTTCACCATGTTGGCCAGGCTGGTCTCAAACTCCTGACTTCAGGTGATCCGCCCGTCTTGGTCTCCCAAAGTGCTGGGATTACAGGTGTGAGCCACTGTGCCTGGCCAAAATCCAATATCTTTTTATGATAAAAAACATTCCACAAACTGGGACTAGAAGGAAAGCCATTAATATGATAAAGGGCATCTACAAAAAGCCCCAGCTAACATCATACTTGTTGGTGAAAGACTGAATGCTTTCCCCTAAGAAAATTCCTTATCAGGAATAAGACAAGGATATCTGCTCTTGCCACTTCTATTCAATATTGTACTGGAGGTTCTAGCCGGGGAAATTAACCAAGAAAAATAAATAAACGGCACCCAGATTAGAAAGGAAGAATTAAAACTATCTTTATTTGCAGATGACAAAATCTTGTCTATAGAAAATTCACAAAAAAATTGGTGAGAACTAATACAAGTTCAGCAAGGATACAGGATGCAAGATTAATATACGAAAAGCAATTATTTTTCTATACACTAGCAATGAACAATCCCAAAATGAGATTAAGAAAACAATTCCATGTATAATAGCATTGTTAAGGACTGAATTATGCCCTCCCCAACCCCAATTCATATGTTGAAGCCCTAACCTCCAATGTTACTATACTTGGAGACAGGACCTTTAAGGAGGTAATTAAGGTTAAATGAGGTCATAAGGGTGGAGTGCTAATCCAAAGGGACTGGAGTCCTTATAACAAGAGGAAGAGACATCAAAGACATCTCTCTCTCCACATATGCACAGAGAAAAGACTATGTGAAGACACAGCAAGGAGGAGGCAGTCTGCAAGCCAGGAAGAGAGGCCTCACCCAAAACCAACTCTGCTGGCACCTTAATCTTGGACTTCCAGCCTCTAGAACTGTAAGAAGATCAGCTTCCATTGTTTAAGCCACACTATTTGTGGTATTCTGTTATTGCAGCCCAAGCAAACTAATATAAGCATCAAAGAAAATAAAAATCTTAGGAATAAATTTAACCAAAGAAGTGTAAGACTTGTACACTGAAAACTATAAACATTGTTGAAAGAAATTAAAGAAAACCTATATAAATGGGAAGATATCCATATTTGTGGATTGAAAAACAATATTATTCAGATAGCAATGCTCCCCAAATTGATCTACAGATTCAATGTAATCCCTATCAAAATCTCAGTTGCCTTTTTTGGCAGGCAGTAACAAGCTGATCCTAAAATTCAAATGGAAATGCAAGGGACTCAGAATAGCCAAAACAATCTTGAAAAAGAAAAAAGTCAAAAGATATACTTCTCGGATTTCAAAATGGCCAAGAAGCAAATGAAAAGATGTTCAACACCATTAGTCATTAGGAAAATGCAAATCAAAACCACAATGAGATATCATTTCACACCCAGTAGGATGGCTGTAATTTTTTTTGAGATGGAGTCTCACTCTGCTGCCCAGGCTAGAGTGCAGTAGCACAATCTGGGCTCACTGCAACCTCTGCCTCCCAGGTTCAAGCAATTCTCTTGCCTCAGCCTCCCAAGTAGCTGGGATTACAGGTGTGCACCACC